>NC_000014.9:65369288-65672319 GCF_000001405.40 Homo sapiens | reverse complement strand
GGTGTAAAAAACTAAATTGATCATTTCATCAACAACCTTAGGGCACATAAACTATTAGGAATAGACATGGCATGTACAGGTGATGGGAAATATTTTGATTACTTTTTACTGGAAGCATTACCTTTAGTATTTTCCTTCACTTAACCATTTTACTTGGTACAAAGGATATAGTTTCACACACAAACATAAAATAATGGAGGAGAAAAATAGACACCAACCATAATAAGGTATGATATAGCTATGAAATGATCACTGTACAAACTAATTCCTGCACTGGTGGACAGACTTGAACAAGAATTACTAAATTCCATCTGCAAGGACATCATGTCAAGTTATGTATGAACAATAATAATTTCACAGTAATGGTGACAAAGGAAATATCCCAAGATTTTTTGTACAACTCAGAATGACAACAGACACAGCTGATTTATGACTAACTAAAGAATTAAAGTCAAGGAGCTTATTAAAATTCACTATTTCCTCTAATTCTTGGAAATATGTTCAATAGTTTCTCTAAAGGGCACATATATAGATAATGTAAATAAGCAGATAAATTGATGGCAGCCATACTCTTCATAAAAACAAAAATATTCTAAGCTTAAAAGAAATCTCTTTTCAGATAAAAGATTGGTATCTAAATTATTAAAATTATTTAATTCCTAGATATTCCAGGCAGTTTCTGTGCCTCTAATCATCATTCTTCTAGTAATGATGGTAGATTATTCTGCTAGTAACGAGGTAAAGTGTTTGGCATGAGTTTACTGATAAGGACTTAGACTGGGGGTATGTACAAGTGAATGTGCTAACCAGAGTTCTGGCATTTATAAGCTGTATGACCCTGGGTAAGTCATTTAGCCTTAACTAGGCCTTTGATTCCAGATGAATAAAGAAAGGATGCTTTCTACATCCTCTTTAGTTGTAACATTAAGAAATTCTGAGTGTTTGAAATTCAAGCCATGTTAAATTTTCATACCCTGTGGTTGCCACTACCGACTACAAAATGTACAAGTAAGGATTAAAAATCAAACAAACCAAATAACCACTTGTAGCACACGGGCAGGGCTAAACTATATATTAAACCTGATAAATCTGTAACTTTTCACTTTTCTGACTACCATACAAAAAGTTGTCTCCCCCTAGAACCAGGGAAACATAGTTTGGCCCTGGCTATTATTTCCACAATCAAGGAAGTTTAAACTGAACTAAGTCCATGAAATGAAAAAAGTTAGCCATAGTGGGGCTGGTAGAGTTTCTTTTCCTGAATGACAAATTTAGTATCTTCCTAACCTTTATAACTAATCTGTTGGCACTAGCCGTGAAAAGTACAGACCAGATCAGTGGAAGATATAACCTTAAAACTAAAGCTTAACTAGGTTCTAGATAAAGAGGTTCACCTTAAAATCTGAAGTGAGTTAAAAATAAAAAATCGGGTGATATATAAAATAAGGCTTCTAAAACACCCTACAGAAGACAAAACACAATACTTTTAATCCATACAGGACCTCTTGCAGAGCAACTCAAAGTATTTTATAGAAAGTACTCAATTAAGTTTCATGACACTTCTGCAAAGAGTCAGATATTACCGATTTTTTTTCAAAGGAGGCAAAAGAAATGAAGGAACCAAAGTTACTTTGCTGATGACATAGCTCCCTATTTCGTATCTAGTGTTGTAGCTCGTGAAAAAAGGTGCTTAGCCCCACAATAAATGATATTAACTGAAGTGCCTCAGTTTTTTGAAAAATGTTGGACTTCCCACAAGATATGAGTGCAGAGGATGTGTACTGTCTTGCTTAGTATTTATCCTGATCACTTAATTCAGTATCTGTCACACTGTAGGCACTCATTATACATTTGTTTAATGAATAAAGGCTATTCATAATAGCTAAAAATTACTAGATATAAGTTCATATATCAGTACTAAGTGCATTACATATATTATTTCATTTAATCTACCAACAATTCAATAAAGTGATTACTCTTCATTTTACTGATAAGGAAACTAAGACCTAGGTTAAGTAACTTGTCCAAGATTACAAAACAATAAAGCCACAATTTTAACAAGGTAGCCCAACTTTAGATCTTAAAGATCATGATTGTAGAAAGAAAAGCACTAGACTAGCGGTAAGAAATTCTTTTCTATATTCTACTCCTTCACCACTTCCTTGGAGAGAAAGGAAATTTCTTACTGATGTTTCTATCTGCTTATAATGCCTAGTATAGTACCTTAGTCACATTACTATTCATTAAATGTTTCCTGAATACAATTAAAATCACATAAACAAATTAGGCTTCATTTGAAGATAAAGTTACCAGCAAGGTCCACCTCAGTGGTTCTCAAAGCACGGTCCCTAAACCTAAAACTTTTGTCAGATATTAAAACTCTCAGGCTGCAGCCTAGACCTTCCTTAACAGAAAATGGAGTTTTATGAAACCTTCCAGATGATTCTCATGCATGCTCATGCTACTCATATATAGTAGTCCATATAAACTGGACTACTTTATATGATGATTACTTCATATTAAAATGAGTTCAATAATGTGAAATCATCTTATAGAGTGAAAGTCATATCATTATTATTAAAAGATTAAATTATGCTCCCTGAAAAAAACTCAGTGATTTTGCTAAATTCACATAAAAATGAGCATCAGAAATGAAATACATAATAAAATACTTTTAAGATAAAATACTGTTCTTCTAGATTTTATCTGGATAATGTATAGTATTCATGGATCCAGAGGAAAAGATAAGTATGTTCCATGAAGGTCTACCTAGAAATCTAATAATCTGGTAATTGAGTGAAACAGCCCAGAGATCTCATATGCTGCACAAGCTCCTTACCTGACCAGTGTCCAGTGGAGATGCCAGATCTGTCTGTGCATGTCTCACTTACAGGCCTAAATACAGTCTCCCATCCACCAGTAGCATAGCGCCAATTCTGAGATTCCAAGATGAGTGTTCGCTGGGTGCCATATGCAATCATGAAGCAGTAGACCACATGATGGAGCTGACAGCCATAGCCACAGCCTTTGTTGATATTACACACCAGCTTTTTGGCTTTGCTGCAGTCCTTGGGATTCTGTCAGGGAGAAAGAGAAATGAAAATAAAGATAAGTTGTACAGAGAGGTCAACTGCTCTTTTTTTTTTTTAATCTTTCATCTTCAGGGGTACACATGCAGGTTTGTTCTATAGATAAATTGTGTGTCGTGGGGTTTGGTATACACCCCAAGTAATCAGCATAGTAAGTGATATGCAGCTTTTTGATCTTCACCCTCCTCCCACCTTTCACCCTCAAGTAGGCCCCAGTGTCTACTATTCTCTTATTTGTGTCTATATGTACTCAATGTTTAGCTCCCACTTTTAATAAGAACATGAAGTGTTTGGTTTTCTGTTCCTGCATTAGTTTGCTTAGGGTAATGGCCTCCAGCTCCATCCATGTTGCTGCAAAGGACATGATCTCATTCTTTTTTATGGCTTCATACTATTCCATGATATATATGTGCCACATTTTCTTTTTTCAGTCTACCACTGATGGGCATCTAGGTTTATTCCATGTCTTTGCAATTGCAAATAGTGCTCTGATAAACATGTTAATTGCATGTGTCTTTATAGCAGAATGATTTATATTCCTTTGGTTATATACCCAAAAACGGGATTGCGGGGTCAAATAGTAGCTCTCTAAGTTCTTTGAGAAACTGCCAAACCACTTTCCAATGGTTGAACTAATTTACATTTCCACTGGCAATGTATAAATGCCCCTTTTCTCTGCAGCCTCACCAGCATGTTATTTTTGGACTTTTTAATAACAGCATTCTGTTGCCTCATTCTGATGGTATATCACTGTGATTTTGATTTGCATTTCTCTAATGATTAGTGATGTTTGATACGTATTGACTGTGTATATGTCTTTTGAAAAGAGTCTGTCTTTTGAAAAGTGTTTGCCTTTTTAATAAGGTTGCTTTTTCCTTGTTAAGTTCCTTATAGATTCTGGATATTAGACCTTTCATAGCTTGCAAATATTTTCTCCCATTCTGTTGGCTGTCTGTTTACTCTGTTGATAATTGCTTTTGCTGTTCAGAAGCTCTTTAATTAGGTTCTGTTTGCCAATTTTTGTTTCTGTTGCAACTGCTTTTGGCGTCTTCATCATGCAATCTTTGCCAGGGCCTATATCCACAATGGTATTCCCTAGGTTTTCTTCTAGAGTTTTTATGGTTTTAGGTTTTACATTTAAGTCTTTTATCTATCTTGACTTAATTTTTGTATATAGTGAAAGGAAGGGGTCCAGTTTCAATCTTATGCATATAGCTAACCAGTTATCCCAGCACAATTTATTGAATAGGGAGTCCTTTCTCCTTGGCTTGTTTTTGTCAGCTTTGTCAAAGATTAGAAAGTTGTAGGTATATGACTTTATTTCTGGACTCTCCATTCTGTACCACTGGTCTATATGTCTGTTTTTGTACCAGTACCATGCTGTTTGGTATGGTGATACATGGTATGGGTACCATGGTGTTTGGTACCCATACCATGGTTACTGCAGCCTTGCAGTATAGTTTGAATTCGGGTAATGCGGTGCTTCCAGCTTTGTTCTTTTTGCTTAGGATGGCTTTGGCTATTCAGGCTTTTTTCTGATTCTGTATGAATTTTAAATCAGTTTTTTCTAGTTCTGTGAAGAATGTCATCGGTAGTTTGATGGGAATAGCATAGAATCTGTAGATTGCTTTGGGCACTATGGCCATTTTAATGATACTGATTCTTCCTACCCATGAGCCTGGAGTGTTTTTCCATTTGTTTGTGTCATCTCTGATTTCTTTGAGCAGTGTTTTGTAATTCCCCTTGTAGAGATCTTGCACCTCCCTAGTTAGCAGTATTCTTAGGTATTTTATTCTTTTTGTGGCAATTTTGACTAGGATTGCATTCTTGATTGAGCTCTCACCTTGGATATTACTGATGTATAGAAATGCTACTGATTTTTGTACACTGATTTTGTAGCATGAAACTTTGCTGAAGTTGTTTGTCAGATCTAGGAGCTTTTGGGTAGGGAATATGGGATTTTCTAGGTTTAGGATCATATTGCCTGCAAAGAGAGGTAGTTTGACTTCCTTTCTTCCTATTTGGATGCCTTTAATTTTTTTCTCTTGCCTGCCTGTCTGCTCTGGCTAGGACTTTTAGAACTATGTTGAACAGCAATGGTGAGAGTGGGCATCCTTGTCTTGTTCTGGTTCTCAAGGGGAAGGCTTCCAGCTTTTGTCCACTCAGTATGATGTTGTCTGTGGGTCTGTCACAGGTAGGTCTTACTATTTATAGGTATGTTCCTTCGATGGCTAGTCTGTTGAGGATTTTTAACATGAAGAGAGTCTGAATTTTATTGAAAGCCTTTTCTGCATCTATTGAGATAATTTTTTTGTTTTTAGTTCTGCCTATGTGATGAATCACATTTATGGATTTGTGTATGTTGAACCAATCTTGCATCCCAGGGATAAAGCCTATTTGATCGCGGTGAATTAACTTTTTGATATGCTGCTGGATTTGGCTTGCTATTATTTTGTTGAGGATTTTTGCATCTATGTTCATCAAGGATATTGGACTGATGTTTTCTTTTTGTTCTTGTGTCTTTCCCAGGTTTTGGTATCAGAATGATGCTGCCCTCACAGAATGAGTTAGGGAGGAGTCTCTCCTCCTCAATTTTTTGGAATAGTTTCAGTAGGAATGGTGCCAGGTCTTCTTATACGTATGGCAGAATTTAGCTATCTGGTCCTGGGACTTTTCTGGATGGCAGGCTTTTTATTACTGATTCAATTTCAGAACTTGTTATTGGTCTGTTCAGGGTATGAATTTCTTCCCGGTTCAGTCTTGGGAGGTTGTATGTTTCCAGGAATTTATCTTTTTCTTGTAGGTTTTCTAATTTGTGTTCACAGAGTGTTATGAACATAGTCTCTGATGGTATTTTTGTATTTCTGTGGGGTTGGTGGTGATGTTCCCTTAACTTCTCTTTACAGGTGACAAGTACCAAAAATCATAAAATAGGTCAGGACTGATCCAGTACGTTTCTTATTCAGGAAAGAATCCTGCTGGATTGGATTTCAGTGAATCCAAAGAAAACCGTATGTACATATTTAAGGAGATTGCAGTGAAAAGAAGCTTACTTGAGAAGAACTGTAAACAATGTGAAATTAAGCAGTTACATTTAAAAAATTCTTTCACTTCTCTTTTTTAACATTGCATTTTGTTTTTTTTTTAAATTTTAAGTTTAAGGGTACACGTGTAGGTTTGTATACAGGTTAACTTGTGTCATGGGGGTTTGTTGTACACTTTATTTAGTCACTCAGGTTTTAAGTCTAGTACTCATTAGTTACTTTTCCTGATCCTCTCCCTCCTCCCATTGTCCACCCTCCGATAGGCCCCAGTGTCTGTGGTGCCCATCTGTGTCCATGTGTTCTCTTCATTTAGCTCCCACTTATAAGTGAGAACATGCAGTATTTGGTTTTCTGTTTCTGCATTAGTTTGCTAAGGATAATGGCCTCCAGCTCCATCCATGTCCCTGCAAAGGAGATGACCTCATTCTTTTTTATGGTTGCACAGTATTCCATGGTGTATATGTATGACACTTTCTTTAGCCATTCTACCACTGATGGGCATTTAGGTTGATTCCATGTCTTTGCTACCGTGAATAGTGCTGCAATGAACATATGCATACATGTATCTTTACGGTAGAATGATTTATATTCCTTTGTGTATATATCCAGTAATGGGACTGCTGGGTCAAATGGTAGTAAAAGTTCTTCGAGTAATTTCCACACTGCTTTCTACAATGGCTGAACTAATTTACACTCCCACCAGCAGTGTATAAGTTCTTTCTTTCACTTCTTTATTCCTCAGTCTTTTATTTCTTTCACTTATTCATCACTCAGAACATGCAAATGGAATCATCTCTGAATTCAAAGTTGCATACATCAATATCTTTATGAAAAAAGTAAAACAGTTCATTTATTCCAGCAGCATTTCAGCATTCTGAGCTTACCTTCTATGATGAAACTCAAATTATCTTAAAAGAAAAACTCTAATTTCTCTATTAATTCCATCTATCTTCACAATTTTATATATTACAACCAAATCTACTTTTTCATTATGAAGTAAAAGCCACTGAGTAGAGGGATATCTGAATTCAACAATTACAAAATATCAGGCATGGAACATTTAAAAAATCATACTTGATAATAGCTACCAGCCATTTTCACAACTGAATGTGGAACATGTTCTATACTGGCTAACTTGAGAAGTATTATGCCACTTTTTAACTGGGAGATCCAGACAGCAAATGTTTAGCTAACATGATAATTTCTTTTTTTTTTCCATTCTAAAGTTCAACTCTGCTTTAATTTGGATGAGCTATTGCTAAATTATTCCTAGGCATCTTAGTTCTTCATATAACAAAATCAGTCTGAGCAGTTTTCCTAGCTATTTTGTCTACAAGAGAGAGGACGGGTAATTCCAAGAACAGAAGCTTTTATCCTACATAGCAAGAGGCAATGTAACCAGTTCTCAATTTATATGAGCCTTGAATAATGCAGTCACCAAACATCAACTCTAAAACTATTTTCCAGGGATATTATCTGTCCTGTCAAGCAGAGCCCTAGAAACAAAAGCTGCAGTCTATAAAATGATTCCAAAGGAAAGACTGAGAAGGGAAACTACAAGTTACCTCCAGAAGAAGTACCTTTCATATTCAAATGTGTCACAGCAAGCTGGTCTTTTTTTAGATCAAAGCAGAACCCATACCATCAAGTACCTTAGGAAGAGTTAAGAGCCTTTTTGAATCTGAGAGAACCCTGATAAAATTCAGCAAGATTTGGTCAATATTGTTTCCACAATCAAGTAGTAGAGTTGCTGATTCTTTGAAAATGTGAACTCATGGCAGACTCCTAAAGCAATAAGCATTCTCACACTTGTTGCTATAGCCACAAAAGATCTGAGAGAAACAGAGGAGTGTGGTATCATGTGGGAATGGGAGATCTGTATCATTTAATTTCTGTACAATATTATATAAGGATCCTGGGAATAAATAATATTCTCGAACTGATTCAAAGGTTTATTATTGACTCAGTTGATCAAAAGTACGGACAAACAACAGTGACATTTGTCAGATTTTCATGAGAAATAGAGTACCTGAATATCACTAAAATTCATATGAATGAAAAAGAAAATGTCCCTCATATCTTCTTCAATAAACCTTTTCTTTTAGAACAGTTTTTAGATGTACTGAATTACTGCAAAGATAGTACAGAGAATCCCCATATACCTAACACCCAATTTCCCCTACTATTACATCTTATGTTAGTCTTCTTCTTCTTTTTTAAGGAAAAAAAGAGTGAAGGAACATAATAATTGAAACATCTGACCTTTAGTTTGGAAACTATAGATTTTCTATTTAAAAGAAGACTCACATCTGCATTTAAGAAAGTATATTCACTGTGTTGAGAACAGAGTTTGACTAGAACCTAAAGCTTTGAGCACAAGAGCTGAGACCTAAAAGGGCAATCTGTACAAGCGGCTTAATGAATGATGCTTAGTATATCTCAAATCAAGCTGAAGATAGACTATATTAATTCTTTTCTGTTTATGTCATAGAGGACATAAAGAAAGAGGGAAAATCCATTATGCTTGATTCTGAAATGAGAAAGGTCTATACATATAAGGTAATCAATGGAAGACTTGAAGGGTGATACGAGAAAATGAATGACTGTACTGATAACAGTAAATTAAACACTGAAAAAGCTCAGAGCCATAGCCCAATTTTTTTGTCCAAATAATACTTAAAAGTCTGGAAAATTCAAAATAACTTGCTCATAAAAGTTCCAGAAAAAGGCAGAGGACACTAAAGAACAGAAAAGGTATTTATGTTCCTAACACAAGATTAGGTTTATCAGAGTACGTATCTAGAAAAAAAAAATAAAGCAACAACTCTGAAATGAACAGGAATTTATTCTGATGAAAAGAACTTCATAGAAAACCCCTCTTCTGAGCTAAGCCTTTGTTATTCAGCATAGTTCCAGAATAGCAACAAATATAAAGAGATTTATGGGACTCTATAAAAGGGATACAGAGCCATAGTTTTGTAATTTTCAAATTTCTTACCAAATAGCTCTTGTCAGTTACCACTGATCCTAGTTTTATACTATCCAGTTGATGCCTGCAAAAGACTAGAAAATGTGTCATATCCATGAGCAAGATATATAGAAGGGTCTCATTACTAAAAGAAGCTTTACTCTAAACTATAAACATAATAAATTATATTTTATAATATGAGATTTTTATATATGGGATCTACTTAAAAGTCAGACTCACTAATAGGCAGATATATTCTAGCTCCTTGCAATAATGATAATTCAAGTTTTAGAAATACAAGGTAAATCTGTGAAAATTACTTAAGACAACATTCTCTAATGAAAGAGCTTGGATAGAGAGGTTAAAGATATGATTTTGGTCCAGTGAAGGTTCTGTTATGAACTCAGTTGTGTGATTTGGTTTCAATTGGTTAGTTTAAAATAGACACAAAAATTACCTCCCTACACAACCTCTCCCTGTTCACTCGCCCTTCTTTCTCAGAGCTACTATGAGGCTAAATAAATGAGCTGGTGTATGCACAAAATTAATTTGAACATACTTATTTATTCTCATAATTTCAAGAGACATTATTTCACACTGAATAAATCCAGTTTTTTGTATGTGTGTGTTCTTTTTGAGTATTAGTGTTGCAAGGTAGCTCAATCACGAGTCTTTATATGCTAACAACATTATGTAACATTTTTGTAATTATAATTCATCAGCAAAGCTGTCATCATAGTACATATAAATCAAGAAATAAGGATTTAAGATATAACAGGATTCTTCTGAATTCAGGTCCCTTTTTATTTTCTTCAATTATTATTATTATTTTTGAGACAAGGTCTGGCTCTATTGCTCAGGCCGGAGTGCAGTGGTGCAATCACAGTTCACCACAACCTCAACCTCCTGGGCTCAAGCCATCCTCCCACCTCATCCCCCCAAGTAGCCCAGCTAACTTTTTTAGTTTTTTGTAGAGATGGGTTTTCCCATGTTGCCCAGGCTGATCCGAACCTGTGAGCTTAAGCCATTCTCCCACGTCAGGCTCCCAAAGTGCTGGGATTACAGGCATGAGCCACCACTCCTGGCCCAATTATTTTCTTTTACACTATCTGAGGCATTTCATCTGACACTATTAGTTTCCAAGAATGACCCTGCTTCAACAGAGCTGAAAGCTGTATTTGCTCTCTCTGCCCTGTAAATCAACAATTAGGAACAATACTTGAATCAATAAGCCTCTAACCAAAATGGTATTTGAAGGAAAGCAGCAGTCCTTAGAAATAAATGATTACTAATTCAGTAAACACACCATCATAACGCTGAGATATTTTACTTAGGTTAAAATATAAAAATAGTCACTGTTAGACATATTTCAAATTAGCACACCAGGTTAATTTCCACTTTGCAAAAAAAGAACAATTTTCAATCAACTAGTAAACCATAGGCGTTCTTCTACTACTTAGGCACTACTACTAGGATTTATGGGTTTCCACTGACTCCACTTAGTAAATTAGTAGCAATGTGAATTACAACATATTACAAAATAGTACTGATTTTGTGGCTTATAAATTAAATGATTTTTTTCTATGACTTTTAATAAAGATTTTTCCTACACACCAATAAAAGCAACTTCAGAGTACAAATTTTCCAGCCACAATGTAATTGCCCTCACCTGCCCAGAGTTACTACTGACCAAAAACATTGCAGAAAAAGGCTAAATTAACAACAAAGAAAACATTTAGTAAATATAAACTGGACATAATATCTCCAGCTGCCTTTTGCAAACAGTAAATGCTCAATAACCATTAGTTCAACTGAATTACATCTACAGAGACAAAGGTGATGTCAAGTCCATAGTCATAAAAATAAATTAACAGGTGGCAAATCTGTTCAGGTTCAAGAGACCTGTTCAGGGCTCTTGATCCACTGTCCACTGCCCTTATCGATTTCACCATGATGTCTTCAATACAAGATGCAGCAAGAAGTCCAGGCTCAAAACACCTATCTGGCTATTTCTGTAAACTGAAAATTAAGAATCAGAACCCCAGGAGATCCTTCCAGCTCCTCCCTAAGAAATTCCTTCTATTGGAAGGAGTTAAGTCAAAGATAGCTCCTATTTCCAGTGAAGACAGCTCAGTAAAAACCAAAAAAAGGGATCAGGCCAGGTGAGTTAAATTTTACTGTGCTCTTTGTCTGCTCTAATCAGAAGACTAAACAGTTTTTATTTGTTTAAAAAGATTTGCAATATCTAGCTTTGTGCTGGTAATGAAGAACGAATTCATTAATAGTGTAGTGAAAGCATTTCATTATATTAGAAACAATCTGATTTTATTTCTCTAACATTATTTTCAAAACCAAGGAGAAAAGGTAATGAAGCAAATAAGAGAACTGAAGTACTCCATTGTGGTAATTAAAATGAAGACTCAGTTAATAACCATGAAAGAGGCAATTAAAAAGCATGCTCACTTTTAAAAGCCAAGACCAGAAATTATTGTCCCTTAACATATTAAACAAGAATATTTCCATAGCAAAGTTAAGACTGTACTAAGGCATCCTTTCCACCCCTCTAGCAAAGAACAATCTAATCTGTACCAAGTAGTAAGGACAACACAATAGCTCAGGCCCAAGTAGTTTACCAAGTGCTTCAGGAAATCAATTTCCCTATGGGTATTCTGTAAAATCTAAGAGTAGAAACTAAAGGGAGGAAAGATACCAAGATACAGAGTTTATAGACTGAAAGACTGCAGCAAAGGCAGATAGTTACTATATGGTCATAGAAGAGGAAAGCTTATCTTGGTAAGTAAAGCCACATTTAGCTTACTTTAAATAATACATTTTAAAAACTTTTGCTCTTTACCTGAAAGTCTCTATTAAATGCTTTAAAGTCATTTTTAAAAGATGGAAATTCCATAAATCCAATAGAAAGCAACAAGCAAATGTGGGGCATTTCTTCCACTGAGGCTTTCAAGACAGTATTCTGTTACCTCTGGGAGTTCCAGGTGGTCTCTAGAAAACCCTCAACTTAGTTTCAAGAGACTTGCATGCTAGAATAACCTTGGTAATATTTTTCTGCCATCAGAAGGGCCACAAAGGAAAGGCAGATAATTAATGATGCATATTCTCATTCAAGAATATAATGTAAATAAAACTACCTCCAAGGATACAGAAGTTGAGTTACATGAGGAGCCAGAATCTGACAATCCTATATAAATGCACAGAAAATGTATCTTCTCAAGCACCTCAACTTTTCTCTGTAAGTTTATACCCTAATTCCCAGGTCTCAGAATCAATTTAACTGTTGAGGTTATAAAGAGCATGCTTACAAAATTAAGATTGAATTTTAGAAAGGTCCTCCGTCATCATTTTAGTTGACAGAATTCATTACGGTCTCTTTCCTCAAAAATATGACAGGTACTCTTTTCAAAAAGGGAGTGAGAAGAGAAAAGAGGAGAGGAGGAAATAAGATAGAAAAAAGGGGAGTTGGGAGGAGAACAGAGGGGAAGAAAGGCGGACGAGAGAAGAGGACAGAAAGGGGAAGAGGAAGAGGGTGGAAAGGGAAAAGGAGTAAAAAGCATGCCTATGAATAGTTAGCCCTGTCTTACTACACAGGAGTAAAAAGATAAAGTATCAGTTCTCGGCCTTTTGGCTAAGATCAAGTGTAAAAGATGAAGTACTTGCAAAAGGAAAACAATGGTTGAAACTGTTCCTGTGCAAAAGCTGCTCCAAATGTTTCGTTTTAAATAAAAGTCAGAGTTTTAAGTTACACAGTTTTGCTGGTTTTTCCATTCTGCAAAGTACCATTCTTCTGGGTAGTACTGGTACTTACAGCACTTGTCTATTCACTGGCTTTAAAACCAAACCATCAACAACAATTAGACTAGATTTCAAATCTGGATACCTCTTCTCGAAGACGGAGTCTTTGTCTCATTTCTCCATGCAGCCAGCCATACATGAAAAATACACTGTTAGCTGAGCATGAATTTCTCTGGAATCCCCAGCTATTATTGTTTTTTTAATGAAAAAAAAACAAAACAAAAAACAAAAAACACCTCAAGATCACCTTTCTCAAACCACCTCAATGAACAGTACTGTAACCAGTTCATTTTATTCTTTACTCCTCAAATATTTTTAACACTGTATTTTTTTACTTTTATTTTGAAATAACTTAAGATCCATAATAAACTGCCAAAATAGTACAGAGAGTTACTATACTTACAGCGTACCTTCCAAAAAGCTTTCCCCAAGGAGAACATATTACTTAACAATAGTACCTTATCAAAATCAGGAAATTGACATTATACAATACTATTAACTACAGACTTTTTTAGATTTTACCAGTTTTCACGTGCACTCAGATTTTATAATACGTATACACTCATGCAACCACCACCAAAATTAGGATACAAGCTGTACCATCAAAGCAAAGAAACCCCTTATACTTCCAATTTAGAGGTACACTCTTCCCCAAATCTTAATCTCTGGAACCCGCTGAACTGCTCTCCATCACTATAATTTAGTCACTTTAAGAGCATTATAAATGGAATTAGATAGTAGTTAATCTTTTGAGATTGCCTTATTACTCAGCACAATGCTCTTGAGATCCATCCAACTTGTGTGTAATAGCTCATTTCTTATTACTAGGTAGTATTCTATTATGTGGATTATATCACAGTTTATTTACCCACTGAAGGACATTTGGGTTGTTTCCACTTTTTGGTTATTACAAACTAAGATGCTATGCACATGAGTGTACAAGTTTCTGTGTGGACATGGGTTTTCTCTAGGATATACAGGAATGTGATTGCTGGATCATATTGGTAATGGTATGTTTATGGAGAACTACCAAACTGTTTCCTAGAATGGCTGTACCATTTTACATTCTCATAAGCAATGCATGAAAGAGCTGGTTGTTCCACATTCTTGGCATTTTTTATTTTAGTCATTCTGACAGGTGACTAATTGTATCTCATCATGTCTTTTGCATTTCCCTAATAACTAATGATTTTTTAACATTTTTCATGTGCTTATTTGTCATCTGTATATGTCTTTTGCATAGCCGTCTGTACAAGACTTTTGCCTATTTTCTAATTAGATTGTTTCTTACTATTGAGATTGGAGAGTTCTTAATACATTGTCTATACATGCCTTCGTTGGACATGTGATTTGCAAAGATTTCTCTCAGTCTATGGCTTCTCTTTCATCCTCTTTAACGGGGTTGCTGGTAAGTAAAAAGTTTCTATTTTTCTAGCATTGTTTTTCTTTAATTTTTAATTTTTTTGAGTACATAGTAGGTATATATATTTATGGGGTACATAAGGTATTTTTACATAGGCATACCATGCATGAAAAATCACATCAGGGTAAATGGGGTAGCCATCCTTTGTGTTACAAACAATCCAATTATACTCTTTTAGTTATTTTTAAATGTATTATTGACTATCACCCTGCTGTGCTGTGAGATATTCTTTCTTTCTTATTCTTTCTTTCTAACTATTTTTTGTACCCATTAACCACGTCCCCTTACCCGCCCCCACAACTACCCTTCCCAGCCTTTGGTAACCATCATTCTAGTCTCTATCTCCATGAGTTCAATTTGTTTTAATTTTTAGCTCCCACAAATAAGTAAGAACATGCCAAGTGTGTCTTTCTTTGCCTGGTTTATTTCACTTAAGATAATGATCTCCAGTTCCATCCATGTTGTTGCTAATGACAGGATCTCATTCTTTTTTATGGCTGGATAGTACTCCATTGTGTATAGGTATCACATATTTTCTTTGTTCATTCATCTGCTGATGGGCGCTTAGGTTGCTTTCAAATCCTGGCTATTGTGGAAAGTGCTGCAGTAAACATGGAAGTGCAAATATTTCTTCAATATACTGATTTCCTTTCATTATATACCCAGCAGCTGGGTTGCTGGATCATATGGTAGTTCAATTTTTACTTTTATGAGGAACGCCCAAACTGTTCTTCATAGTGGTTGTACTAATTTACATTCTGTGTGTTGCCTCTTCACTTTGTTGACTGCTCCCTTTGCTGTGCAGGCAGAAGGTTTTTAACTTGATAAGATCCCATTTGTCCATTTTTGCTTTGGTTGCCTGTGCTTATCGGGTATTACTTAAGAAATCTTTACCCACTCAAACCAGTGTCCTGGAGAGTTTCCCCAATGTTTCCTTTTAGTAGTTTCATAGTATGAGGTCTCAGATTTAAGTCTTTAGTTCATTTTGATTTGCGTATATGGTGAGAGGCTGGGGTCTAATATAATTCCTGAGCATATGGATATCCAGTTTTCCCAGCACCATTTATTGAAGAGACTTTCCTTTCCCCAGTGTAAGTTTGTGACTTTCGTTGAAAATGAGTTTACTGTAGATAACAGATTTGTTTCTGGGTTCTCCACCTGTTCCATTGGTCTATGGTCTATATGCCGGTACCATGCTGTTTTGGTTACTATAGCTCTGTAGTATATAATTTGAAGTCAGGCAGTGTGATTCCTCCAGTTTCCTCAGGCAGTGTGATTCCTCTACTTTTGAGGTTTTTGCTCAGGATAGCTTTGACTATTCTGGTTTTTTTGTGATTCCATGTAAGTTTTAGATTCTTTTTTCTATTTCTGTGAAGAGTGTCACTGGTTATTTTGATAGGGATTACACTGAATCTATAGATTACTCTGGATAGTATAAACATTTTAACAATATTTATTCTTCCAATCCATGAACATAGAATATCTTTCCATTTTTTATGTTCTCTTCAATTTCCTTCATCAATGTTTTATAGTTTGCATTGTAGAGATCCTTTACTTCTTTGGTTAATTTCTTGTTACTTAATTTTATTTGTAGCTATTGCAAATGAGATTACTTTTTTAAATTTCTTTTTCAGATTGCTCACTGTTGGCATATAGAAACAATACTGATATTTGTGTGTTGACTTTGAAACAATACTGATATTTGTGTGTTGACTTTGTACCTGCAACCTCACTGAATTTATCAGTTCTAGTAGTTTTTTTTTTGGAAGAGTCTTTAGATTTTTTCAAATATTGAACCATATAGTCTGCAAACAAGAATAAATTGATTTCTTCCTTTCTAATTTGGATGTTGGTCATTTCTTTCTCTTGTCTGATTACTCTACCTAGAGTAATCAGCACTATGTTGAATAACAGTGGTGAAAGTGGGCCTCCTTGCCATGCTCCAGATCTTAGAGAAAAGTCTTTCAGTTTCTCCCCCATTATGGTACTAGTTATGGGTCTGTTGTATATGGCTTTTATTATGTTGAGGTATATTCCCTTTATGCCGAGTTTTTTGAGGGTTTTTATCATGAAGGGAAGTTAAATTTTATTAAATGCTTTTCAGCATCAATTGAAATGATCATACGGTTTTTGTCATTCATTCTGTTGATAATGATGTATCACAATGATTGATTTGTGTATGTTGAACAATTCTTGTGTCCCAGGGATAAATCCCACTTGGTCATGATGAATGACCTTGTTTGTTTTCGGTCTAATGCTTCCATCAATTATTGAAAGAGGGATATTAAAGTCTCCAACTATATTTGTCTGTTCTCCTTTCAGTTCTGCCAGTTTCTGCTTCATATATTTTGAAAACCTGTTAAGTGCACATGTTTAAAATTACATTTTTTTGGTAAATTGATCATTTTATTATCGTTATATCTTCCTTTGTCTCTGCTAGTTTTCTTTGCTCTGAAGTCTATTCTGTCTGAGATTAATACAGTCACTGTACTTTTTTTTTTTTTTTTTTTGAGACGGAGTCTTGCTCTGTCGCCCAGGCTAAAGTGCAGCGGCGTGATCTCGGCTCACTGCAAGTTCCGCCTCCCAGGTTCATGCCATTCTCCTGCCACAGCCTCCCGAGTAGCTGGGACTACAGGTGCCCACCACCATGCCAGCTAATTTTGTTTTTGTATTTTTAGTAGAGACGGGGTTTCACCGTGTTAGCCAGAATGGTCTCGATCTCCTGACTTCATGATCTGCCCGCCTCAGCCTCCCAAAGTGCTGGGATTACAGGCGTGAGCAACCGTGCCCAGCCCAGTCATTCTATCTTTCTTTTGATTATTGTTTGCATGGTGTATCTGCCCATCATTTCACTTTTAATCTACCTATATCGTTATATGTGAAGTTAGTTTCTTGGGGGGACAGCATATAGTTGGATCATTAAAATAAAAAATAGGCCAGGCACAGTGGCTCACGCCTATAATCCCAGCACTTTGGGAGGCCGAGGTGGGCGGATCACCTGAGGTCAGAGTTCGAGATCAGCCTGACCAACATGGAGAAACCCTGTCTCTGCAAAACTCTGTATCAAAAACAAAAACAAAAACAAAAAAACACCATTCTGCCAGTCTTTGTCCTGTATTTTTTTTTCTCTCTTTCTTAACTGGTATGTTTAGATCATTTGTATTTATATTTCATGCAATTATTGACATGTTGGGATTTAAGTACGCCACTTTATTGTTTTTTATTTGCTCCTTTTGTTGTTCCCATTTCTCCTTGTCTATGCATACTCTGAACCTTTTTTAGTATTTAATTTTGATTTATCTATAGTGTTTTAAGGAACTACAGAAATGGTTCCTGTAAAGTATGGTCTTCTATAGTGTTTTAAAATATCTTTTTATAGAGCTTTTTTTTTTTTGGAGACAGAATCTTGCTCTGTCGCCCAGGCTGGAGTGTAGTGGCACGAACTCAGCTCACTGCAACCTCCGCCTCCCAGGTTCAAGCAACACTTCTCCTGCATCAGTCTCCCGAGTAGCTGGGATTACAGGCACATGCCACCATGCCCGGCTAATTTTTGTATTTTGGTAGAGACGAGGTTTCTCCATGTTGGTCAGGCTGGTCTCCAACTCCTGACCTCAGGTGATCCGCCTGCCTTGGCCTTCCAGAGTGCAGGGATTACAGGCGTGCTCCACCGTGCCTGGCCTATAGAGCATTTTTAGTAGTTAATCTAGGGATAATTATATCTATATACAACAATTATTACAGTCTACTCAACATTTTGCCATTTGAAATGGAATGCAGAAACCTTCCTACTTTTTAGGTTCCTTTACTCTCCCCACTTTTATGACATTGTTTTAAAAATCACCTTCATAAACATTAAGAACCACATCGGCCATTGTAAAAAATTTTGCTTCTTACCCAACATTTTAAAAACTCAACAGGAGAAGATTAGGCAATTCCCTATACCTATTAATTTGTACTTTCTTCATTCTGATGTTCCAGCAGAATTCCCTTCTGTCATCATTTTTTGTCTGAAGAACTTCCTTTTTTACGCAAGTCTGCTGGCAATGAAGTCTCCGAGTTTTCTTTCATCCGAAAATGTCTTTTTCTCACTTCGTTGTATTTTCCCTAGGTGAAAAATTCTGGATGGTAATTCTTTCCTTTCAGCACAAGGTTTTAAATCTGGTTCAAAGCCTATAATCCCAGCACTTTCGGAGGCCAAGGCAGGAGGATTGTTTGAGGTCAGGAGTTTGAGACCAGAATGGGCAAAATAGCAAGATGTTGGCTCAAAACAAACGATACAGTTTTCCTACTTCTCTTGGCTTCCATGTTTTCTGATAAGAAACCCAGAGTCATTCAAATTGTTCCTCTACAATTAATGCGCTGCTTCTCTCTGGCTGCTCTCAAGATTTTTTTCATTGTTTTCAGTTTTCAGCAAATTACTTAAAAAGTATCTGGGAATGGATCTGAGTTTTTCCTGTTAGGAGTTTGCCCAGCTTCTTGAATATTTAGGTTTGCCAAATTTAAGAAGTTTTCTGTCACTTCTTCAATTTCTTTTCTTTTCTTCAAAATAAGGCATTTATTAAACATATCTTTATAAAGGTATCAGAGATACTAAAGTTAATAAATCACAGACTAAAACTTCCAGGTGCTTGCATCCTTCAGTCAGAAGGATAGACATGAAAGACATGAATGACATCGAGATGGTCAATCTGATAATAGAGGTGTATATAAGGCACTGTAGCAGACTGGATTTTCAAAAATAAACTAATAAATAAATAAATAGCCCTGGCAATATTTCCAGTTCCACATGCTTTTCTACAACCATCCCCTCTCCACCAAGAGAGGAGATCTCTACCTCTCCTCTTCTACCTAGTGGGGCTCATGACTGCTCTAACCAATACAGTAGGGCAGAAGTGATGCTATGTGACTTCTGAGGCTAGGTTATATCAAGGACACACATTCCTCCTGGCTTGTTCTCCATCTATCTCTGCCTCTTGAAGTGACTACCTTTGGAGCCCTCAGCTACCTTGTAAAAAATCCTACTACCTTGAAGTTGCAATACTGAAAAGACCAATACAGAGAGAGATGGCCAATGATCCCCTGCTATCGCATGCTCCAAATGTTTGGCTCTTTCCAGCATCAGCCAAGAGAATGTGCTCTCAGATGATTCCAGCCCAGCCTTCAAGTATTCCACATGAGGTCCTGTTAACAGGGACAGCTGGAGTATAGGTAGGTTTAGTAGAAGTTTCATTCATTCTTTCTCTTATTCCTTTATCCAATAAATACATATTGACCCCCATTGTGTCAGGCACCTGGCTTGTGCATCAGTTAAGACTGCTTTTGGTTGTATTTAAAAAAAAAAAAAGTGCTTAAGCACTAAGAACACGTTGTTTACCTAATAAGAAAATCAGAAGACAGTCCCAGGAATGTTTTCCTGTTTCCAGCCAGTCTCTTCTTCACCAGCCTCAGAATGTTAGCTTTTTATCTGAATGCCTCATGGTCACAAGATGGTTGTAACAGCTCCAAAGCATCATGTCCTCTCAAGCTTCTCACATCATATCCAAAGGCCAGAAGAAGAAGTACACTAAAAGTTTTTTTCTTATGTGCTCTCCATTTTTATCAGAAAGAAAAACATTTCTCTGACGTTCCCACCAGCCAACTTCCTCTTATATTGAATCAACCAGGAGCAAATCGCACAGCCATCCTAGCAGAGGGCATACAAAACAGGGAGGGTGCTAGGAAAGCGAGTATCTGGCCTTTCCAGCTTCTGGTCCACTGAAGGCTCTTACAAAGTGTTGATTCTCATCCTGTCTTTTGGTTTCTTGGCAGATCTGGAAGCCAGAAGTCCAAAATCAAGGTGTTGGCAGGGTTGGCTTCTTCTGGAGGCTCTAAGGAAGAAGTTGTTCCATGTCTCTCTCCCGGCTTCTGGTGGTTGCCAGCCATCCTTGTCATTCCTTGGCTTGTAGACACATCTCTCCAATCACTACCTGACTTCACTGGCTTTTTCCCTGTGTCTCTCTGTTCTTCAAATATGTTCTTCAATCTCTCACTCCTACTTTTCTTCTTCTGGGATTTCAATGATACAAATATGAAGATGTTTCTGTAATTTTCTCAGAGGTCCCCATAAGACTCTCTTCACCTTTTTAAAATCTTTATTCTCTCTGTTGTTCAGACTGCATAATTTATATTGATCTAAATTTGAGTGCACCATTTCTTTCCTCTGTCATCTCTATTTTACTACTGAGCTAATTTTTAATTTAGTTTATTATATTTATCAGTTCTAAAATTTCCATTTGTTTCTCCCTTATATCATCTATTACTTTGGTGACACTTTCTATTTTTTCATTTGTTTCAAGACTGTAATTGTAATTGGAGTATATTTATTATTATAGCTTCTTTAAAATCCTTGTCAGACAATTCCAACATCTGTGTCAACTTAGTGTAGTGTCAGCTGATTAACTTTCATCATTCGAATTAAGATTTTCTTGGTTCTTGATATGATGAATATTATGTTAGGAGACTCTGTTGTTTAAATTTTCTACTTTGATAGGCAATCAAGTTGTTTAGATTCACAATGCATGTCTTAGCCAACTTTTATGGGCTGTGAATCAAATGTCAATTTAATTGTTAGGGTCTTTTTAGTGTTGTTCTGTTCTGCCCCACTGGGCTACCCAGAGGCCAGTCTGAAACCTGGGTGGTATAACACAGCAGAGCCCAATTCTAAAACCTTTTTCTGTATTGATTCTAATCAGTTTCATGAAAGGGATGCTAAGAAATCTGCCCAGGATTTCAAACACAGATTTTTTTAAGTCTCTTTCTCTAACTCCCTCCTCTTTTTAATCCTCCCTCCACACTCTAGTTGGGAGGGTTAGGGGATGGAAACGGCGGTCAGGGCTTTGCCCACAGTCTCTGTGGCTGTAGCATCCATTGGGGAGGGCTGCAAACTTGTTATTGCAGCTCCATCCACAGTTTCCATGGCAGCAGTGCCCAGTGGGAGTGGTAGGAACAGTGTTCAGTGGGAGTGGGAGGGGCACCCTCATTATTGCAGGACAGGAATGAGGGACAGGGCTACATGCACAATCTCCATAGCTACAGCACCTGGGGAAGGGACTGCAACTGGATAGATATCATTAAAATGGGGCTTTTTTTTCCCCCCTCTCTGTCCACTAAGGTTTCTAGCTGCAGGCCTCTAGTACCCTTGGCTGGGATATATAGGAAGTAAAATAAATAAGTAAACACACAAAAAATAGGAAATTACAAGTTTGTGGTTTTTTTTGTTTTTTTTTTTTTTTTTTTTTTGTAATTAGCAGGAATTACAGTGATCTGGTTTGGATCTGTGTCCCCACCCAAATCTCAAGTTGAAATGCAATCCCCAGTGCTGGAGGTGGGGCCTGGTGAAAGGTGACTGGATCATGAGGGCCGTTTTTCACAAATGGCTTAACACCCTGCTAGTATTTTTCTCACGATAGAGTCCTCAGGAGATCTGACTGTTTAAAGGTGTGTGGCACCTCCCTGCTCTCTCTCTTGCTCCTGCTCCACCATGTAAGACATCTCACATCCCCTTCTGCCATGATTGTAAGTTTCCTGAGGCCTCCCCAGAAGCCACTATGCTTCCTGCACAGCCTATAGAACAGTGAACCAATTAGGCCTCCTTTCTTTATAAATTACCCAGTCTCAGGTTTTTTTTTTTTTTTTTTTTTTTTTTTTTGAGACAGAGTCTCACTCTGTCACCCAGGCTGGAGTGCAGTGGCACGATCTCGGCTCACTGCAAGCTCCGCCTCCCAGGTTCACGCCATTCTCCCGCCTCAGCCTCCCGAGTAGCTGGGATTACAGGCGCGTGCCACCACGCCCGGCTAATTTTTTTTTGTATTTTTAGTAGAGACGGGGTTTCACTGTGTTAGCGAGGATGGTCTTGATCTCCTGACCTCGTGATCCGCCCGCCTTGGCCTCCCAAAGTGCTGGCATTACAGGCGTGAGCCACCGCACCCAGCCAGGTATTTCTTTATAGCAGTGTGAGAATAGACTAATATATATAGTGTATGATGTGTTTACTATATCTTATCCAGAAATAGAAGCCTAAAACTGTATTTTAAGCCCAATATATTCTCAAACATTTAATGCACATTTAACTCACAACTGCAACATTACTCATTTATTGGCAAACTAATAAGTGTATTTTCAGAGGCATTTGCTAATATGTTTCTTTTAAAAATGGTAAACCAACTTTTTTCAACAATCTCTCAATCTTGAGAACAATATCATTATATCTTTTTATTTAAAAGGAAAATATAACATTTATTTGAAATGAACTCTCATAGTGAAAACTTAAGGAGATTATTCAAAGCCTCTGTAGTGTGTAGGCTTTGAATACTGAATGGTCTCTTTTAGATTTAAAAGCTTTTCCTTAGAGTTCAGCTTTATTTCCATTTTCATCCATTATTTAAGTACAAAAGGCAGGGCACTAGGTCCTTTGGTTGCAAAGCCAAACACACAGTATCTATCTTGTCCTTAGCCCTTTAAACATAATCAACCATCTCACATGGGACACAATAGCAACTTTTCTATTTCAGATGTGACTTGTGGCTTCAGGATATCTTCTATCCCTGATACTCACAAACTCAGCAAGTTCGGCTATCACTCCAAGGGAAGAAGATTCAGATTAAAAATAAAATAAAACAATCCCTTCCCACCAAAACATCCCCAACCAAACAAACAAAAAATCACCAACCTCAGGTAGATCTGAGAAAGAGAAATGTCCAAAGCTTAGGGCTGTTTTATTGGCAGAATGTTAACTAGAATTCTAACAATCCTAGACAGTTTCTGATATGCTTCATCTTTATCAAAGAAATGGTAGTCTATGGGCATACAAAAGTGTCAGATGTTTATAGGTGATATATTTTGTTTAACAATGAACAATGTTTATACCAATGAAAAGAAAGGAATAAAAGGTGTAAGAACTACGGAAAATACATGGAATAGTTGAGAGAAAATAAGAAGCAATGGTAAAAATAATGACATGTCTCTTTCCATTCAAATATCGTCAGAGACTCCCTACTTCTCCAAATTGAAATCTGTATGGTTCCTTTTGCATTTGCATCTTAATCTTTCTGGCTGTTAGATCCTAGACCCTCTTGTGATAGCATGACCATAATAGCTCCAATATACCATCAGAACTTTATTGTAGAGTAGAACAGAAGAAAATTAAGAACTAAATGAAAAGTGTTACCCTCATTCCCTCCTCACCTCCAACATGCAAAAAATCAAAGATAAATTAAAATGAAAACTGATTTCATTAGCAGAGATGCTTCAAATTCCCTCTTGTGGAACCCGATATTAGTCAGAATAAATTGGGATTTGGTCCCAATATTTAAAAAGACATCATTGTACATTTGACAGCTTTATCATCGGTAACATGACTACATTTTAAGAAGATCACTGTGCTCTTCAAAAGGCAAACAAATGGTGGTCAGTCTGTAAGATAGCAAGGGGTATATTCCTGAGTACTTACATAACTCCTGATGTCTAGTCCTGTTGCTCTAACGAGTAAAAATCCTTAGCCTCAAAAATGGAAAAAAATAACTGTTTGGAGGTGGGAACCTCAACAGGAGGCAGACAAAGGCATATGCTCAGAAAGCTGACACCTGGAATACCAACAAGAGTTCATATATAGCTAAAGGAATAGAAGGAACAGGAAGAGGAAGAAAAGGAAAATAGGAGGAAAAACATTTAAGAATTATTTTCATCACTGTCTAGGCCAGGGTCAGTAAAGTTGTTCTGTAAAGGAGGAGACAGTAAATATCTTTGGCTTTGCAGGCTGTACATTTTCTGTCAAAATTATTCAACTTTGCAACTGTAGCCTGAAAGTAGATGATATACAAACAAATGAACATAGTTATGCTCCAACAAAACTTTATTTACAAAAACAGTTGGGTTGGATTTGGCCTAAGGGTGGTAGTTTGCTGACCTCTGGTCTAGGCCAATAAAATCTGTAAAAACATGGTGGCAAAAAGGAAGAGCAACCTCCAACAAAGTGGGCAGAAATATATGCTCCCTAAGCAAAACCCCAAGGTCTTGTTCCATTTTGTATTTTGCTTTAATATAACTTCTGAGACTTCTTTTTTTTTTTTAACCTTTAATGAGACACATACATTTAGGTCCTCAGTAAACCTAAGGAAATTCTCCAATGTCCACATTACTTTCTATTCACACTAGTAGCAATATTTTCCTAATGTCTGATCTGCTAAAACTGAAATTTTCCTGACAACATTTACTTAGATCATAAATATATTTTGAATCTTCCAGGATACCTCTACTATATATGGAACAAAATTTAAGAGCAACTATTACTCATTTCCTATAAGCTGGAAAGAAGATGTCCCATAGGTGTAATGGACAGGTTAGGATGTGTTTAATACTTCAACTGTAAAATGTCAGGCTTTCTACCCATACCTCTGATTATCAGTTTTAATCTACTTAGCACATAATTCTACATTCTATCACTATTAAGTTCAAGTTTTTATAACCCAGAGAAAGAAAAATCACCTCTCATACTATCATTAAAGACAAAGATAAGTACAAACCTCTCTAAGTCTCAATTTACTCTCCTGCATATTGAACATTACAACACCTGCATCATAAGAGTTACTTTGCATAATACTAAGCATACAGAAAGTGCTCAGAAATGGCAGCTTACAAATGTTCTTCAACCTCACAGCTTCCTTTAATGTACTTTAACATACTAGAGGAACAAGAAGAAACACCTGCTCCCTATCACAACCAAAGGACTTTAATAAGACCTTGAGTGATCTGGGTATTTTATCATCTATCAAATACAACTGACCTAAGCCTTGAGCCTAGTATAACATCACTGTAATGACTAGAATGTCACAATTTTCTATAGAAAAGAAATCAGTGCGAACCTTTCACAGAGAAGTTTTTCAAGTGATACAAGCTATGCAAATCACATACATCACTCCTGTTAAATTACTTATCACAATTGGTATTTTAGGTTTAGATAGGTCAAATTTATGATACATGAATTTGCATAATCCAAGTACACAAACATCCAAATACTTTTTTAGACAACCTACCACAGAACAATATTTAATGTGTGAGAATTATCATGTTCATTTTTCAGGGTCAGAGCTTATCCATATGTTTTAATCAATTGCACAGAGATGTATTTGTATGCATTTATGACTTATCAATGAGCCATATCTACAACTTACTTGATGTTAGATTCTCATTTGGTAATCTACCCTTAGCTAGGCAATTAGAGGGGAGGGATAGAGGAAGAGGAGGCAGTGAAGGTTACTGAACAGAGACCAAAAAAAAAAAAGTCATTGGAAAGGCTGCTCAGTTATGGTCTGCCATAACCAACACTCACACCTAGGGTATGGCTGACTTACACAAAGGTTCTTGGCAGTTAGTAAACAAGCAGTTGATACACAATTGTAGGCTGGTCAATCTGAGAAAGTGCTGCAGGCTCTAAGGAGAGATGGAAAGTGAGTCCTAGTCAGAGGTTAGCACTTTTTAATGGAAAGCTGCTGTTCTAGTATTAAATTAAAACAAAATTTTAACTAGAGGCAATCTGGACATTCTCTGTTATATCTTTGTATTAGAGACAGAACTCAATCTTAAAGGGTCAGCATCTATTACCTTTCATCTAATTTTGCAATATAGCTTTCTCTATTTCAGGTTTCTTAATGTTGGTTTTCTCAAGTAATCTCCTATCTTGGGAGCAGGACTGAGAACCCCTTAGGAACTTGAGGTGCCCTCCTAGTTCAATGGGAAGAGCTTCCTTAGGAGATTTGCTGAAATGTAAGCTTAAGGGACCCTTGCTTGCACGGTTCCCTTCAAAGGCCCTGGGAGAGGCTTGTGCTATGTTACCTGGATGTGTTTTTGTAAAATTTCACCATCATGAGTTAAATGAGTTAAGTTAAATAAGTTAAGATATCTGTCTCTCAGGATTCGGTGCCATCTCAGTTTTCCAGCGTCGGTATTAGTGTTGGGTAGCAAATAAAGTGGCCATCTGCATTTCTGGGATCCTGTGATGGAGAAATTAAGCTGAGAACTATTTAGTTTGGATTTAGAGATATATTTATGTAGTTCACAGTTGCTTTTGTGCAGAGATATTTTTGTCACATAAATAGATACAGGGTGAGAGATTGCACTGTGATATGAATGTGTCCCATGGTTCCTAGCATGGTAAGTACAAGGTAATAACAGAAATGAAGGAGGCATTTCTCAATGATGCCTAGTCAAAATAGAAGTTCTCTTCTGTCACTAATAGTCTTGAAAATGTAGTGTAGACAATTAAAAATGTAGCACAAGCAATTATATGAACCATTTTTTCCTTTTCTGATGAGAATCACATAAAATAAAATTATCTGAAATCCTGTCTAAACGGCACAAGCTTACAGCAGTACTACAAATATGAAGTATGTATGTATGTGAAGTTTCAAATGTTATGTACCACAAATATCAATAATTTAAAAACAACATTTTAAATCAACCATGCTAGAGAAAAAAATCTTTTCAGATTTTCCATTCTCTTTATAGACAATATTAATATTACAAAGTCATTCTCAATTCTCTTTACAGAAAACATTACAAATCACTGTCATACAATCAAAGGGTATGCAGCTAAGAAATGTAAGGGAAAACAGTATTATAGAGAGCATCAAGCAGTTAATTAAAAATTATTTTTCTGGGGTTTAGTATTTGTGGCATTTGTCAGCTTTATACAATTGTAACTTGTTAGGAGTTCTTTTTTCATCCTGGAGTCAATCCTCACTATTCACAGATTCCATGTGAATTTACCAACTAGAATTTATTTGTAACACCCAAATCAATACTTGTGGTGCTTTCACGGTCATTCATGCACACGTGCAATGAAAATTTTGAGTACTCCAAGGCACGTAATTTCAGCCAAGGTGGCTTTTTGCCTTCTTGTTTCAAATCTCTTACTATAAACAAATGTCCTTTCTGCAGTATATTTAGCTGTTTTTCTCATTTTTGTGCTTTTTTTCCAGTGATTTCACTGTTGAAAATGGCCCCCAAACATAGTAGTGAAGTGCTGTCCAGTGTCCCTAAGGGCAAGAAAGCTGTGTGTGCTTTACAGAGAAAGTATGTATGTCAGATAAGCTTTGTTCACATATGAGTTATCCATGTTAATAAATCAACAATATACATTAAATAAGGTTTCTTGAAATAGAAACACACATAAAACAAGGTTATATATGTTAATCAGTTGATGAAAATGTTGATCTCACAGGAACCTAACTCTGTATTTCCCCTAGGAATAGTGGTTCACTATTGCTAATTCAGTATTAAAGAATATAATTGGCCGGGCGCGGTGGCTCACACCTGTAATCCCAGCACTTTGGGAGGCCGAGGCAGGCGGATCACGAGGTCAGGAGATCGAGACCATCCTGGCTAACACGGTGAAACCCCGTCTCTACTAAAAAATACAAAAAAATTAGCTGGGCATGGTGATGGGCGCCTGCAGAACCAGCCACTCGGGAGGCTGAGGCAGGAGAATGGCGTGAACCCGGGAGGCGGTGGTGGGCGCCTGTAGTCCCAGCTAGTCGGGAGGCTGAGGCAGGATAATGGCATGAACCTGGGAGGTGGAGCTTGCAGTGAGCGGAGATCACACCACTACACTCCAGCCTGGGTGACAGAGTGAGACTCCGTCTCAAAAAAAAAAATATATATATATAACATGAATAATGACAGCCAATTGTAAACATTTAATATTTTGTATTCCTTTTCATAAAGACAGCACCAGAAGTTGAATAGGTTTCAGGTGACTCCCCCAAACCTGAATCTGCCTCTGCTCAAGAGCCTACGTATTCCCTTCATAGGCGTCTTGCTACTCCCTAATTCTTGCTTCGCTGGAACTCATACCACTATTATGGAAGAAGAAATTCCATCTTGAGTCTTGGTAGTTACAATCAGAACTTCCATTATTACTCTATTTCTATGTGGAAACCAGACCTGCTTTAAGATTTGGAAAATTGTTTCTAGAACTGTATTGTGACTTAGATCAGAGTCGAACTATAGCGAAACCTGCCATTTCTTGAAAAAAATGAGGCATATTTCTAGAAAGAGAAAATTACTTTCGAAATAACTTTAAAACAAGTACATATTGGGCTGATATACCTAAATTAAAGAAATTTGAATTTAAGTTCAACGTATATTCAAGAAAGTTAAAAGGATAAAACCTCTACTGGGTGTTGCTACTCTCAAGGATTAAATGAGTTAAGGAATAGCATCTAGAATGGAATCTGGTGTGTGTGTGTGTGTGTGTGTGTGTGTGTGTGTGTGTGTGTGTGTGTGTATTTTTTTTTTAAAGACGGAGTCTCGCTCTGTCGCCCAGGCTGCAGTGCAGTGGCATGATCTCTGCTCACTGCAAGCTCCGCCTCCCAGGTTCACGCCATTCTCCTGCCTCAGCCTCCTGAGTAGCTGAGACTACAGGTGCCCGCCACCACGCCCGGCTAATCTTTTGTATTTTTAGTAGAGACAGGGTTTCACCATGTTAGCCAGGATGGTCTCGATCTCCTGACCTCGTGACCCGCCTGCCTCGGCCTCCCAAAGTGCTGGGATTACAGGCGTGAGCCACCACGCTGGGCCAGAATCTGTCAATTTTATTTCCAGGTCACAGATGTTAATGACCTAAATATGTATTCCCTTTTATACCCTCAATAAGGAATGATGTTGTGAAAGCCTTTTATTATTGATAATTAAGAGAATTTGAATATATAAAAATATGTAAACTGAAAAATGTCAAAATGCTGTCAGCTTAGTGAGTGTACTCTCAGGAATTAAAAAAATTCCTTCATTACCATTAGGAATCTCAAAATATTTTAAAACTCTTGCTAAGAAAACCTAAAAGCTGAAATTTGGACTTTGGTAAGGATTTTAGTTTTAAATGAAGGAGGAATTAATTTGTGGCTTACTGTAAGTTATCCTAATAGTAAACTGTACTATTTAATTAAGATTAATGACTCAAAGAGACTACTGCCAACTAGAATCCATATTGGAAATGAAGAAGTAAGTGTATCTATATGTAGATGACATGATACTTTATGTAGAAACTCTGATGAAATCTACAAAAAAGCACCAGGTGAGTTTGACAAACTGGCAAGATGCAAGATCAATATATAAAAAATCAATTGTATTTCTATGTGCTAGCAACACACAGACAAGTTGATTCTAAAATTTAAATGAAAATGCAAAGAACATATAATGAACAAAATTTCAAAAAAAGAACGATAAATCACACTACCCAGTTGTAACACTTACTACAAAGCTAGTAACCAAGACAGTGTGGTACTAACAGAAAGACAGACACACATGACACACATGTATGGTCAATTGATTTTTTTTTTTTTTTTTTTTTTGAGACGGAGTCTCACTCTGTCACCCAGGCTGGAGTGCAGTGACACCATCTTGGCTCACTGCAGCCTCCGCCTCCTGGGTTCAAGAGATTCTCCTGCCTCAGCCTCCCAAGTAGCTGGGATTGTAGGTGTGCGCCACCACGCCTGGCTAATTTTTGTATTTTTAGTAGAGACGGAGTTTTACCATGTTGGCCAGGCTGGTCTCAAACTCTTGGCCTCAAGTGATCCACCCACCTCAGACTCCCAAAATGCTGAGATTACAGGCATGAGCCACTGCGCCCAGCAGTCAATTGATTTTTGATAAAAGTTCTAAAGCAACTAATAGGAAAGACATAATCTTTGAAAAAATGATTCTAGACCAATTGAATAGCTATATGCAAAAAAATGAACCTCAATTCTTAGTTTACGTGATTCCTCAAAATGGATCTTAGACCTAAATGTAAGAGCTAAAATTATACAATTCCTAGAAGAAACCAGAAAAAATTCTAGTCACCTTAGGCTTCACAAAAATTTCATAAATACGAAATACAAAAGCATAAATTTAAAAACTTAATAAACTGAACTTTGTCAAAATTAAAAACTTTTGCCTTTCAAAAGACACTGTTAAGAAAATTAGAAGGCAAGCTGCAAACTAGAATTTCCAAACAAAAATTTCCAAAACACACATCAGACAAAGGACTCATATCTAGAATATATATAAAGAACCTTAACTCAATAAGAAGAAAGCAAACATCCCAATTAAAAAATAGGCAGAAGATTTAAGCAGACATTTCACCAAAGATGATATGCAGATGAAAATATGCATATGAAAAGATATTCAACAATACTTACAGGAAAATGAAAAAAAAAAAACCACATACACACAAAAAAAAACCATGACATACCCCTACACATACACTAAAATAGCTAAAATTTAAAAGATAACCATACAAAGTGTTAGTTAGGGTATATGAGAACTAAAAGTCTCAGACACTGCTGGATGAAAATATAAAATGGCACAATCACTTTTGTAAACAGTTCAAACAGTTTCTTAAAAAGTTAAACCTACACTGTTATACGACCCAGCCATTCCACTCCTAGGTATTTAGCCAAGAAAAATGGAAGTATATGCCCACAGAAAGGCTTGTACATAAATATTCACAACAGTTTATTTATAACAGCCCCAAAGTGGAAACAACCAAGTGTTCATCAACAGGCAAATAAGTAAATTTTGGCATAACCATATAATAGAATACCAGTCAGTAATTAAGAATAACAAATTATTAATACATACAACATAGATGAACGTCAAAATAATTACGCTGAGTAAAAGAAGCCAGACAAAATAGTATGTACTGTAGGTCTCCATTTATATACAATTCTACGAAACACAAACTCATCTATAATGATAGAAAGCAGATCTGAGTTAAACCTGTGGATGAAGGTGGGAAGTGGTGGAGGAAACACAAACGGACATGAGCACACTTCAGAGTGTTAAATAAGTTCACTATCTTGATTGTGGTGATGGTTTCATGGGTGTCTGTATACGTCAAAACTTAACAAATTGTATACTCTAAATATGTGCCGTTTATTTTGTGTCAACTATATCTCAATAAGGCTGTAGAAGAAAAAAAGAAAAAGAAACTACTGCCAAATGATAAAGAGATTACCCTTGAGTTTAAGTCATCAGTAAGCCTTCATATTTGTGTTAAACATCTGGTTCTATTTTTCTTTTGTTTTAAATGCCTTTCTATAGTCAATTCAAGTTAGGTTTTTAATTTATTCATACAAAAATATTTATGGAGTATTTATAATTATGCTAGGCACTGTTCCAGGCTCTGGAGTATAGCACAGAATCAAAGGTACCATAATATATCAGTTCTCTTAGTGTTACATTGATAATTCATTTACTCATTAACTCATTTATTTATATCCATTCTATGTTAATACTCTCTAATGTAGCACTTTGTTTTGGGGGAAATTCTTTAAAGCTAAATGAAGTATTATGTTAGAGAACACAAATATGATGTTATTCTTCCAAGTTCTTATCTTCAAATTAAATAAAATAATATGAGTAAATACTGTTGACAGATTTCTACTTTTGTATGAAAGTCAATAAAGAGTTTAAGTTCACATTATCATTATTTAGGAAGGCATTAAATAACAATTACATTAAAAATATGTTCCAAAAATATTATGTATTTTGACCAAGAATGTTAAACGCTTAAGAGAAATAGAAGCTGTTAGCTGGAGAAATTCAACTAAGTAATAATTTAAAAAATCAATATCATAACTATAATTTTATAAAACTGGCTCTAGTATTTACCATCTGCTTTTTCACTTGAGATGACTGTAGCATTTTTTTTTTCTTTTCTTCTTAGATCCATTGGTTTGGTCCTTTTATTTTTCTTCATCTTAATTTTGCTTTTAGTTTTTGCATTCTTCTAAGTTATTCTATCATCATTTGCTTGTATTTATTTCTTTATTGCTTTATTTCTTTATTTCAAGTCAGGCCACACTAATTTTTCTTCTGACCATTCACTTCTCTCATTTTTCCATTCCAGGAAGAAAAAGTATATGCAGAGCTTACAATCAAATTGCTCCTGTGATGATTCATAATCATTTTTTAAATGGCACATTAAAATGTATTTGGCAGTTGGGGAAACTTGATCAACAACTGGTTATTTGATGATTTTAAACAATGATTCTTAATTTACTTAGGTGTAAAATAGAATGTAGTTACGTTTTGAAAAACTATCTTTTAGAAATTCATACTGAAATAAATACAAATGAAATTATAAAATGTCTGGGATTTGCTTCAAAATGAACCTAGAGATGGTAAGTAGCACTGGTAGTACAGATGAAACAAAACTGATCATAAAGCTGGGTGATGAGGACAAAAGGGTCCACCAGCTCTTATTTTTATACATGTTAAAGTTTTCCATAATAAAAGTTTTCTAAAAAGGAATGACGAAGGAGCCCATAGGAAAACTTAGTGTACCAGAGATATGGGAAATAGTAGAAAGATCCAAAAAAAGTATCAGAAATATAACTATCAAAACAAAGAATTGTAGGGAAGTTTCAAAAGTGTGTGTGTGTGTGTGTGTGTGTGTGTGTCTGGATTTGAAGACAATACTCACAGGAAGTTTAAGCTACTAGACTTTAAACTTCCTAAGGGCAGACACTATGTCTATTTGATTTATGACTATATCACCAGCAATGTACCTAATGCCCAGTATATCCAAATACTTAAGGAATGAATGCACCAATGAACTATTCAATTGGACCTACGCTCCCACAAGCAAGAGCTCTGTAAAATCTGTAAGAATTCAAGATAAAGTTGTTTTTAATAATGCTTAGAAAACTTCCTTCAATAAATTTTCTTCTTTACTTCCTATCACCAGCCTATGTCCTTAGTCAACTTCCAGTATAGCAATCCCCTCTGCTACTTCATGAAATCTACCCATGCCACTATATCCACTACCACTTCTTGTTCTGTCCTTAGTCAAGTTGTTCATTTTTTTTTTTATCTTGGAAAAGGTATTTTCTTTCTCAGTATACTCTTAGGTTTTACTTCTGAGAAACTGCCTGCTTTTTCCTAGATGGTTTCCTCTTAAACTAAAAATTTCTTTCAAATAGGGAAAAGCTCTGAAGGTTTCTGCCCATCCCAGTTGTATTAAATATTTAGCAAATATTTTAATGTAGTTAGGCTGACAACTTTTTCTAATGAGTTACAGATATTACCACTTCTGGCTTTATTTTGGTTAGGCGGAAATACAAATGCAATCTGAATTACTTGGTAGAACACAATTCACAACTCTAAGAATATGTGATGATTAATTTGATCTCAGAGTCAGTATACAAGCACATAAATAACGTATATAGTTATATTCTGGCTTTAAATCTATCTTAACGAATTAGTCCTGTCAAAGAAAAATGAGATCAGGCAAATCCTGTGTTGGAGTGAGGGGTTCCATAAGCTGAAATGTATGTTTAATAGCCTCAATAATGTATCCCCAGCATTAACATTCCCCTTATTCCAAAGGATCATATACTGTCACTGGAGAAGTTTTCTATTTCTCCAATAAAACTTATTTTTGAATGAAAAAAAATCCCTATCCTCATTTAAAAAGTGAAATAGTTGTTTTCCATTTTCACACCTTTTTTCCTCTCTTTCTCTCAAAAAAAAAAGAAAAATAATCTACCAATTTCCAGTAAAAGTCCTATTCAAAACATAAACCAAAGCAAGCAAAACACGGGGGCAAACCAAAAAATCTTTCTGGCCGGACACAGTGGCTCACGCCTGTGATTGCAACACTTTGGGAAGCTGAGGCAGGAGGACTGCTTGAGCTCAGAAGTTTGAGACCAGCCTGGGCAACACAGTGAGAGAGGAGGCAGTTAGGGGCTGGTTAGGCAGATAGAGACGGAGGGTCTTGGGAGAAGGACAATGTTCACAGGAACAACTGTAGGACAGCACCTACACTGCTTCTGCAGCTAACCAGAAGAAATGTGGTTACGAACTTCACCTTGTGCCAGGGTGTTGCTCAGAAACGACTGACCCAACTTAGGCGCAGGTGCAATAAATCAACCTAAATGTTGTTAACTTGACCAAGCTCATTATGTCATTAACATGACATTAACTTTGTGGTTTTAGCACCTGTGGGTTTGGCTTAGGCACTCATGAGTAATACCAAGATGAAGTCACTCTGGCCAACTCCAAGCGTGGGCAGATGCAACACCCCTAGGAGGGAGCTTTACCTCTCCTATTTGGGCAAAATCCACGACGACTTCCTGGCTTCTGCCACACAAAAGACCAGAAGTAAGTCCCGTTTCTGGCAACCTGCTTTCAGGGCCCCTCTGTTTGCTGAGACCTTTCCTTTTGCTTAAGAAATCCTACTCTACTCACTCTCTGGTGTCCACACGCCTTATTCTTCTTGGTTGTGGAACAAGAACTCAGACCTAGCTGAGCTAGGGACTAAGCAGACTGCAACAATAGGGAGATCCCATCTCCACAAAATAAATAAATAAATATAAATAAATCTTTACTGTTATTTCTTTTTACATACTTTATTCACCTGAAATGGGCTTAATTTTGCTTAAAATATCAACTTTGGGGCTATGCAGAAAACAAAATCCATTTTCGTATATCAGAGACAGATAATTTCAAGTTAAACTCGGAGATATCCTTCTGCAGAGGCTATTTGCTCTAACTAGCAGCACTTTACATGAGAACTGCCAACTTCCAACTGCTCCAAACAAGTTAAAAAACTAAGGCTTGAAGTATACAGATCTCACTCATCGTGCCTGTTTAACATGAGCTCATCAGAAATCGCAACATAAATTTTCTAAAGATAATCTCTTCCACATAAAATCACCCAAAAGTCTAGGAAAATGACTTATATTATGGTAAAATGTGGACTCATAATGAATATATATCAGCAACGTGCAGTTTTAAAAATGGACTTCATCAGAAACTACAGAAATAGAAACAATAGCATTTTCTCAATGTTATGATTATATAACACAAGAGTAAGACCAGGACAAAATGGCATTTAATACAACCCAATATTATATGTTCACTTTGCGGGAAAAAACTTTTTAGATAAACATATACAGTAAAAGACTAAAGCCCTTACAAGATTTGCTTGATCCATTCTATTTGAGCCTGATAGCATACTTGTCTATTAGGGTTGTCTTCAATCCGAGTATTATAATCTTTTAATCAGTTTAATCTTTGTAAACCATGCCATACTGCCTTCAACTCTAAAGAGAAAATGATTTTGACAACTATGAACTTTGTCCCACTAAACTCTAGTTGCCCAAAGTGCCTTTTCAATTTTCCATTATGTCCTGTGAAATTGCTCCTCTCAAGTAAAACCAATATACAGGTTAATAAAATTGAGACCAAACTTCTTCTCACAACTGAGCTATATATGACTGTAAACTAGAAATCAACTCCAACTGGAACCTTTAAAACCATGCAAACACATGGAAATTAAATTACCTGCTCCTGAATGATCACTGGGTCAAAAACAAAATCAACATGGAAATTTAAAAATTCTTTGAACTGAATGACAGTAACGACAAATCCTACCATAACCTCTGGGATATGGCAAAGGTGGTGCTAAGAGGAAAGTTCATAGCCCTAAATGCCTACATCACAAAGACTGAAAGAGTACAAACTGACATTCTGAGGTCACACCTCAAGGAACTAGAGAAACAAGAACAAACCAAACCCAAACCCAGCAGAAGAAAGGAAATAACCAAAATCAGAGCAAAACTAAATGAAATGGAAACAAACAAAAAAAAAATACAAAAGATAAATGAAACAAAAAGCAGGTTCTTTGAACAGATAAATAAAATTGATAGATCATTGGCAAGATTAGCCAAGAAAAGAAGAGAAAAAATCCAAATAACCTCAATAAGAAACAAAACAGGAGATACTACAACTGACACCACAGAAATACAAAAGATCATTCAAGGCTACTATGAGCACCTTTATGCACATAAACTAGAAAACCTAGAGGAGATGGATAAATTCCTGGAAAAATACAACCCTCCTAGCTTAAATCAGGAAGAATTAGATACCCTGAACAGAACAATAACAAGCAACAAGATTGAAATGGTAATTAAAAAGTTACCAACAAAAAAAAAAAGTCCAGGACCAAATGGATTCACAGCTGAATTCTACCAGACATTTAAAGGAAGAATTGGTACCAATCCTTTCGATACTAGTCCACAAGACAGAGAAAGAGGGAACCCTCCCTAATTCATTCTATGAAGCCAGCATCACCCTAATACCAAAACCAGGAAAGGACATTAACTGAAAAAGAAAACTACAGACCAGTATCTCTGATGAAAATAGACACTAAAATCCTTAACAAAATACTAGCTAGCCAAATCCAACAACATATCAAAAAGATAATCCACCATGTTCAAGTGGGTTTCATACCAGGGATGCAGGGATGGTTTAATATACGCAAGTCAATAAATGTCATACACCACATAAAAAGAATTGAAAACAAAAATTGCATGACCATTTCAATAGATGCAGAAAAAGCACTCAACAAAATCCAGCATCGCTTTATGACTAAAATTCTCAGCAAAATTGGCATACAAGGGACATACCTCAGTGTAATAAAAGCTATGACAAACCCACAGCCAACATAATACTAAATGGGGAAAAGTTGAAAGCATTCCCTGTGAGAATTAGAATAAGACAAGGATGCCCGCTCTCACCACTCCTCTTTGGCACAGTACTGGAAGTCCTAGCCAGAGCAATCAGACAAGAGAAAGAAAGGGCATCCAAATCGGTAAAGAGGAAGTCAAACCGTCACTGTTTGCTGACGATATGATCATTTACCTCAAAAACCCTAAAGATTCTTTCAAAAAGCTGCTAGAACTGAGGAAGAATTCAGTAGAGTTTACGGAAACAACATTAACATACACAAATCAGTAGCTCTTCTCTATACACCAACAGCGACCAAGCAGAGACTCAATTCAAGAACTCAACCCCTTTTATAAAAGCCGCAAAAAATAAAAATAAAATAAAATACTTAGGAATATACCTAACCGAGGAGGCAAAAGACCTCTACAAGGAGAACTACAAAATAGTGCTGAAAGAAATCATAGATGACACAAACAAATGGAAACGCATCCCATGTTCATGGATGGGCAGAATCAACATTGTGAAAATGACCATACTGCCAAATGCAATCTACAAATTCAATGCAATCCCCATCAAAATACCGCCATCATTCTTCACAGAATTAGAAAAAACAATTCTAAAATTCATATGGAACCAAAAAAGAGTCCGCATAGTCAAAGCAAGACTAAGCAAAAAGAATAAATCTGGAGGCATCACACTACCTGATTTCAAATTATACTATAAAGCCATAGTCACCAAAATGGCATGGTACTGGTATAAAAATAGGCACATAGACCAATGCAACAGAATAGAGAACTCAGAAATTTATTTACAGCCAAAAACTTACAGCCAACTGATCTTCAACAAAGCAAACAAGTGGGGAAAGGACACCCTTTTCTTTTTTTTTTTTTTTTTTTTAATTGATCATTCTTGGGTGTTTCTCGCAGAGGGGGATTTGGCAGGGTCATAGGACAATAGTGGAGGGAAGGTCCACAGATAAACAAGTGAACAAAGGTCTCTGGTTTTCCTAGGCAGAGGACCCTGCAGCCTTCCGCAGTGTTTGTGTCCCTGGATACTTGAGATTAGGGAGTGGTGATGACTCTTAACGAGCATGTTGCCTTCAAGCATCTGTTTAACAAAGCACATCTTGCACCGCCCTTAATCCATTTAACGCTGAGTGGACACAGCACATGTTTCAGAGAGCACAGGGTTGGGGGTAAGGTCATAGATCAACAGGATCCCAAGGCAGAAGAATTTTTCTTAGTACAGAACAAAATGAAAAGTCTCCCATGTCTACTTCTTTCTACACAGACACGGCAACCATCCGATTTCTCAATCTTTTCCCCACCTTTCCCCCCTTTCTATTCCACAAAACCGCCATTGTCATCATGGCCCGTTCTCAATGAGCTGTTGGGTACACCTCCCAGACCGGGTGGTGGCCGGGCAGAGGGGCTCCTCACTTCCCAGTAGCGGTGGCCGGGCAGAGGCGCCCCTCACCTCCCGGATGGGGCGGCTAGCCGGGCAGGGGCTGACCCCCCACCTCCCTCCCGGACGGGGCAGCTGGCCGGGCGGGGGCTGACCCCCACCTCCCTCCTGGACAGGGCAGCTGGCCGAGTGGGGGCTGACCCCCCACCTCCCTCCCGGACAGGGTGGCTGCCGGGCGGAGACGCTCCTCACTTCTCAGACGGGGTGGCTGCCGGGCGGAGGGGCTCCTCACTTCTCAGACGGGGCGGCTGCCTGGCAGAGGGTCTCCTCACTTCTCAGATGGGGCAGCCGGGCAGAGACGCTCCTCACCTCCCAGACGGGGTCGTGGCCGGGCAGAGGCGCTCCTCACATCCCAGACGGGGCGGCGGGGCAGAGGCGCTCCCCACATCTCAGACGATGGGCGGCCGGGCAGAGACGCTCCTCACTTCCTAGATGGGATGGTGGCCGGGAAGAGGCGCTCCTCACTTCCTAGATGGGATGGCGGCTGGGCAGAGACGCTCCTCACTTTCCAGACTGGGCAGCCAGGCAGAGGGGCTCCTCACATCCCAGACGGGGTGGCGGCCAGGCAGAGGCTGCAATCTCGGCACTTTGGGAGGCCAAGGCAGGCGGCTGGGAGGTGGAGGTTGTAGCGAGCCGAGATCACGCCACTGCACTCCAGCCTGGGCACCACTGAGCACTGAGTGAACGAGACTCCGTCTGCAATCCAGGCACCTCAGGAGGCCGAGGCTGGCGGATCACTCGCGGTTAGGAGCTGGAGACCAGCCCGGCCAACACAGCGAAACCCCGTCTCCACCAAAAAAATACGAAAACCAGTCAGGCGTGGCGGCGCGCGCCTGCAATCGCAGGCACTCGGCAGGCTGAGGCAGGAGAATCAGGCAGGGAGGTTGCAGTGAGCCGAGATGGCAGCAGTACAGTCCAGCTTCGGCTCAGCATCAGAGGGAGACCGTGGAAAGAGAGGGAGAGGGAGACCCTGGGGAGACGGGGGGGGGGAGGGGAGAGGGGAGAGGGGAGAGCAAAGGACACCCTTTTCAACAAATGGTGCCGGGATAATTGGCTAGCCACATGTAGGAGAATGAAACTGAATCCTCATCTCTCACCTTATACAAAAATCAACTCAAGATGGAATAAGGACTTAAATCTGAGACCTGAAACTATATAAATTCTAGAAGATAACATTGGAAGAACCCTTCTAGACACTGGCATAGCCAAGGATTTCATAATCAAGAACCCAAAAGCAAATGCAATAAAAACAAAGATAAATAGCTCAGAGGTAATTAAACTAAAGAGTTTTTGCACAGCAAAAGGAACAGTCAGCAGAGTAAACACACAACCCACAGAGCAGGAGAAAATCTTTGCAAAGTCTGCATCTGACAAAGGACTAATACACAGAATCTACAAAGAACTCAAACCAGTAAGAAAAAAAAAATCCCACCAAAAAGTGGGCTAAGGCTATGAATAGACAATTCTCAAAAGACGATATACAAATGGCCAACAAACATGAAAAAATGCTCAACATCACTAATGATCAGGGAAACGTAAATCAAAACCACAGTGCAATACCACCTTACTCCTGCAAGAATGGCTATTATCAAAAAATCAAAAAACAGTAGATGTTTGGCCTGGATGCGGTGATCAGAGAACACTTCTACACTGCTGGTGGGAATGTAACTAGCACAGCCACTAGGGAAAACAGTGTGGAGATTCTTAAAGAACTAAAAGTAGAGCTACCATTTGATCCAGCAATCCCACTACTGGGTATCTACCCAGTAAAAGGAGTCGTTACATGAAAAAGATACTTGCACATGCATGTTTATAGCAGCACAGTTCGCAAATGCAAAATTGTGGAACCAACCCAAATGCCCGTCAATCAACGAGTGAATAAAGAAATTGTGGCATATGTATATGTATGTGTATATGTATATGTATATGCAGAGTGGAATACTATTTGGCCATAAAAAGGAATGAATTAACGACATTTGCAGCGACTTCCATGAGATTGGAGACTATTATTCTGAGTGAAGTAACTCAGGAATAGAAAACCAAATACCATATGTTCTCACTGATATGTGGGAGCTAAGCTAATGAGGACACAAAGGCATAAGAATGATACAATGAACTTTGGGGACTTGGAGGGACGGGTGGGAGGGGAGCGAGCGATGAAAGACTACAAATAGGGTGCAGTGTATACTGCTCAGGTGATGGGCACACAGAAATCTCACCAAGCACCACTAAAGAACATGTAATCAAATACCACCTGTACTCCAACAACCTATGAAAAAAAGAAAAATATTTTTCCAAAGCACTTTTTTTCTACTGAGATTGTCCCTATCTCCTTGAAAATTAAAAAAAAAAATCACCTTTTCCTTCCAATGGGGGGAAAAAGGAAAAGCATGAAAGTAAAGTTAAATAGCAATATCTGAAACTGAAGGTAAGGTCCAAGTAAAGTGCTAGGTTTTGCTATAGTTTAAAAGATTTAAAAAGCCAATGTAGCTTTAAATTATTAGCATGATTTGCAAATGAAATTCTCTAATACGGAACCACAAAAATCAGCATATAGAGGATCAAATTAGTACTACAGGTGAAAGCACTTGGCCACCCACAAACCAAGAGGAAAAAAAAAAGGAAACTAAAACAGGTGGCAGGTACTTGTTACAGTTTAGGTAGCTGAACTATCACTAGATCATAGTTTAGAACTATCACCAGATATAGTTGGTGAAAATTTAACGAATAAGAGGAAATGGAGGAAGCTCAGAAACCACAGTTATTTCCATTTTAAATAAGGATGATGGTTCTGCACCACCAGCTGTTTATAGTTCACTGAGTGAGGTTCTAGTTGATAGGAGATAATTACCTCTTCCCTACAGGAGGTGAAGTGTTTCTCATTCTGCAGACACCTCTGATGAATGGCCATGTGGGTATGAGACCAAGATAGCATGCCAAGATCAGTTTGGTTTTTAATGATCTCTTTAAACACTTGATTTTCTATTTTTTCCTATTTAAGTGTAGAAAAATGTGCACCTTAAAATATACAGAACCATATCACTGGCTGTCATTTTGCTTTTATACAATACTTTAATTTTACAGGGAAAGTAGAGCGTACACAGTATGCCATCCACAGCATTAGAAAAGGATGAGGGTGGAGGATGTTCCAAGGTCATTTCAACTTCAAACATTTTGAGATTTGAAGATTCTACTGACTCATTGTTTTCCCCTGAAAACTATTCTGTCCCTCAGCACCTTATCAGATAATGATGTCCCCATTATCCCAGCCATTTCAGTTCTTTCATCTACTTGGAAAGGCCTATCAATTTTATCTTCCCAATCTCTCTCAAATTTGTCTCTTCACTTCCAAAGCAAACTGCCACATACCTTAATACTTCTTACCTGCACTATGGTCCTCTTATCTTAAATGGTCTCCCTGCTTCTAGTCTCTTCAAATAATCAAGTTCAACTAAAATACTAGTTTCAGATTAATATCACTTAAGTACCACTCTCATACCACTTTTGTATGTAAAACATTTCAAAAGCAGGTTGTGACTCCAAAATAGAAAAATGCTTATGGCATATTAAGCAGAAAAACAAAATCAAAAATAAATTATTTTCTTACATATATGTAAGACGGTGTGTACATATTAATAAGAACTAGAAAAGAACACAAAAAACAAAGTGAAATTAATTTTAAAGGGTCTGAGACTTGATGTTTACCAATACTTTCTATTTGTTATAATAACATTTATAAAACAAATAAGTAAAATCTTTCAGTGACCCCTTACTGCCTATGTACCATAAACCTTAACCTCTGTAATCTGTTTCCAAGCCTACCTTTCCAACTTATTCTCCATCCCTCCTTTCACACAACCTAAAATTCCAGACAAACTGAACTGCCACACTTATCATATGGGTTCCTGTACTGTTCTTTCCCAGTTACGAGCCACTGCTTAGCTGATAACCTCCAGCTGGTACATTCTTTTCCTTCATTTCTGTGTGTCCAAATCCTATTTAACTATCTTTTACAGTTTACTTCAAACAATACATTCTCTACAAGACTATCCCTGATGTCTCCTTACTCAAAACTCCAATAAGCATTTCATCTATTTCTCTCCTATAAAATGTAAGATGTTATATTTGTATTGTATTGTGTGTGTGTGTGTGTGTGTGTGTGTGTACGTGTGTAAGAAGTAGCTCCCTTTAGGACAGGGTCTTTGTTTTAGCCATCTTTGTATTCCACTCAAGGCATAACACAGTGTCTTTCTGAATAAATATGTAAAATGTGTGAGTACTGATTTTCAAGGGCCAGGAAGACTAAAAACAACTGAAATTATTACTCTTAGTTATATTATGATCCTTCTTTTTTTCACTCAAATTTATTCTTAACCCAACCTTCTTACCTGAAGATATGTTATTCTCCGCTGAACCAGTTCTGTCAGATCTTTGGCCTCTTTTTCCCGCCAATCACCTGCTCCATCTGTCTGACTGAGGTAGTATAGATCCGTCATTATAGACCTGTTAAAACAAACAACAATGGAGATCGAACTTGTCTGTACTGCTTCACTGGATTACACAAAGTCTTAAGAAGAATGCCAGATTCCTCATAAAGATTGATGCTCGCATTGACACTGGTACTCATCTTTTATTTTCTATCAAGGTTGTGCAATTCAAAAATTAGTCTCTTAAAATCCAATAGTCATTCCTATAGTAAATTTTCACTGTTGAGAAAATATACTTTTTTTGTTCAAGCTAGTCAGCTGCACTTGTTTCTCAACACAGACAAAGCACTACAAAGATGTGGAGGAAAGTGAATACGCAAAGCAAACAAATGAGTAAATTAACATAGAGAAAGAAGTTGACGTTAGTATTAGTACCTCTTGGTTCTCTCTACTATCATTTCATGCCCCCTTTTAATTTTTCTCTTCATATTTAAACACTCTGAGTGACTGGAAAAAGATCAGAGGAAAATTTTTACACAACTCTTAACAGTATAAACCAAGGGTCAGCAAATTTTTTCATTAACGGGCCAGACAGTAAATATTTTAGTCTCTACAGATCTCTAAGATCCTTTGCCTTTGTAGCAGAAAGCTGCCATAGATAATATGCAAATGAATAGGTGTGGCTGTGTTTGAATAAAACTTTATTTATAAAAACAGGCAATGAGCCAGATTTGGTCTCTGGGCCATAATTTGCTGAGTCCTGGTCTAAACTAATAAAATGATTATTTAGCATCAGTAATTCCCATTCTGTGTAGCATCAGTAATTTCAATTACAACATGCTGGATTACCTGCAGAGTAAAGTAAAATCTCCAGTAAACTAAAAAGAGAAACTTTAGGGCTGCTACAAATGGTTTTATTTATATTGCATTAAATAAAAATTATGACTTGCATTTAGCAAGAAAGAAAAGTAAAAAGCAAGAGTCTCTGTTTGTCTAACATCCCCTACAAATCTGTCAGCAAATTTATAGCTAATTTCTAATTTTTCACATATCACCACCAGCACTTTTACCAACTGAGACACCATCTTCTCTCACCTGGATTACAACAACCTCCTAACAAGGTCTCCCTGCTTCCACCATTGCCTACATCTAAAGTCTGTTCTCAATATATCAGCTAGATCCTGTTACAACATCAACAAATAATGTTACTACTTTGTTCTTAACATGAATTGGCTCCTCAGCTCAGAGTCAAAGCCAAAATTACTACTTTGACCTAAAAGACCCCACCCAATATGGCTCACTTTGATCTCATCTCCCACTACCATCCTTCTTGATTTCTCTATTTCAGTCACACTGGTCTTGTTGCTAACCCCTGACACTGCCAGGTATATTCCTACTCCAGAGCTTTTCTATTTGATCCTCCCTGCCCTGGAATGCTCTTTTCTCAGATATCTATTCACATGGCTCATCTAAATGACCTTGAAATCTTTGCTCTAATGTCACCATCTTCATAAGGTTTTCCCAGATTATCCCACTTAAAAATCCAACACTCCCGCCTATCACCCTCAACCCTTGGTTTTCCCTCTCCTCCTGTTTGAGTAGGTAGCTAGGCAGACTTAAGAGGGCAGAAGAAGGCACCCCCTTAACCTCCAAGCAATGTCAGGCGACCATCAGGTGATGGTCAGGCAGTTGTTAAAGTATCTCTCTAAAATAATTTAACTAGTCACAGCTGGTGCCAGGGAACGGCAGTCTCCTAAATAGATAGAAAACAACTGAAGCTGGTCATCAGCAGCTTCCTGATAAGTTTTCAAGAGTTGTGTGAGTTGGCTCAAACGCGTACTAAGAGGCAAAATGGCAGACTTTAACTGTTATATGACCTTCCTCTAGGAACACTCAACTGGTAAGGAAAAAAAGCCTCAAATGAGCATGTGCACAACTTCAGTAAACACACTGCATATGCGATCCCTCCCAAGTGCTGGCAGGCCATTGCTCATGCAGACAGCCTGCCCCAAGGAAAAATCAGGTAAGAAGAAATGCAAACCCCGGAACCATAGCAATATATACAGGCCCAAGTCAATGGTCAGACAGCACACTTGACCCTCTCAAGTCGCCCGCTTGGCCTCTTACAAGTGTACTTTACTTCCTTTCATTCCTGCTCTAAAACATTTTAATAAACTCTCATGCCTGTTCTAAAACTTGCCTTGATCTCTCACTCTGCCTTATGTTCCCCTGGCCAAATTATTTCCTCCAAGGAAGCAAGAATCGAGCTGCTGCAGGCCCGTATGGATTCACTGCTGCTAACACTCCTTCCCTGCTTATTTTTTTTTTCTAAGCAGTTATCATTTTCCAATATACAATATTACTTACTTCTTATCTTTCTGCCCTACTAGAATTTAAGCTCCAAAAGAATGAACTTTTTTTTGGTTGCTTCTTTTATTTTTTTGTTTTTTGTTATTTAAAATCAGCATGTGGAACAGTGCATGTCACAGACAAAATATTCGATAAATATCTTTAGATGAATGAAAAAGTAGCAAAAGAAAAACCTTCAAGAGTTTATATAATGAGATAACGGTGATAATTTTTATCTTTTACAAATCCAGTTTGATGGTAGACAGGTTTGGGGAATAATCCTTACCCAGGTGTAGCTCCAGCTTCATCCCTTCTCAACACTTTGTATTAACTCCTCTGGCATGCTTAAGATTATGGATTATTTGCTTATGAAAATTATAAAGTCAGAAATGTATTTATATTGTCAGAAAAATTACACATCTAGAAATCACTTACAATGACTGTATTAACTAAAAACATAAAGCATTAGCTGGAGATTCCAAGAGTACTTAGAGAAAACTGATGTATTACAATAAATAAAAAAGAACAACAATAAATAGGTACACCTATTCTAAGTGCTTTACATTATTTCATTTAATCTCACAATAATCTTACAAACTAGGTAAGAAATGGCAGGCACTGAGAGGTTAAATAATTTGCTCAAAGTCACAAACCTCAGAAATGTCAGAGTAGGAAATCAAACCCAAGCAATGAATTTTAAAGTCCAGGCTTCTAATTACTACACTAACAAATATCAAAGTAGGAGGTCCAGAGCACAATAATGTGTCCTCTCCTCAATGTAAATATCCAAAAATCAGAAAGTCTGAATCAGAGGAGAGAGCTTTGGGAGCCAGACATACCAATTTCTCAATTTTGGTTCTATCTCCTACTAATTTTGTGTCCTAGGAAAATTATTTTGACATCTCTGAGACAAAGTATCAAAAGACCTTCTCTAAAGCTCTTTAAAAAATACACACAAAATAGTAATACATGTGGTAGCCGCTATTTTTTTTTTTTAATGCTAGAGGTCCTCAGAGAGTTGTTTCTGAGCTTTTACACTGTGTCTGAAGAGTACCTACTAATAATTCTACTACCAAGAGGAAGGAGCCATTAGATGTGGGTAACAGTAACACGTGGTATTGATAATCAATTATAAAAATGATCCAATATTGAGTTCCATATAACACCCTGAAGAAGGGGGATTGATCAATGAGAAGGAATCACTTAAGAGATGGTGAAATATGCCCTCAACAACTGTGATTTGCTTGTGACACAGTCTTAGTACTCTTTTATTCCTGATTCTTAACTAGATGCTAAATTATTTAGCAAAAATGCAATGGCAGCCCACAGGAAAGTCTTATTTACTATCACAGAAAGCCATTAGAAGTACACATGATTAACAGAGAATACGTGATAATAGCCCCTTTTGAATAAAGTGAAACTATTAATTCAATTAAAAATTAAAAATCTTAGCCACCATTTAGACTATTCATCCTAAATTAATAGTGGAACAACTTTGAACGATGCTTTGGAACAACAGTTCCATTTGTGAAGCACTTTAGACATTTGTTTCATGTGTCAACATTCATCACACACAGGACACTTTGCAGCTTATCTACTTCCATTTTCACCCTTTTAAAACAGGCAAGAGGCCAATATGTGATGCCTTGTCCATTTTCTTATTTGTTATTCTCAGCTAGGATTCAAAACATTTTCTTTTCATGAAAGAGACTTTGGCTGCAAAAACCAAACCTACAATGCAGAAATTAACCTGAAGTCTTTAGACTAGGCAAAGTTTCAACTTCAAAGTTTTTTCAGATTATAAAACTGAGTCCTCTATGGACTATTATGTAGACTACAGTATTTTTTTATAGTTACTGAGGGGGAAAGTCACTATCTGTATGAAATTGTGAGTTGCTCATGGAAACACAAAAGTCTTTAACTATAATAGGGCTATAGGGCTCGGCTAAAACTTCATTTAAAACATATTCTCAGTTTCATAAGCCTCTTTCCCATCACCCTCATCACACTCATTATTCTTTATATTTCATAGGTTTCATCATAATAGAATGTGGTCATTTGTTTTTTCCTACCTATCAAATAGGAGTAATCACAAAACTTGTTGCAAGTCTCAACTTTACATTTATTTATTTATTTATTTATTTATTTATTTATGACAGAGTTTCACTCTTGTTGCCCAGGCTGAAGTGCAGTCACACAATCTCAGCTCACTGCAACCTCCGCCTCCCAGGTTCAAGTGATTCTCCTGCCTCAGCCTCCCAAATAGCTGGGATTACAGGCATGCACCACCACACCCGGCTAATTTTTTCTGTTTATAGTATTGACAGGGTTTCACCATGTTGGTCAGGCTTGTCTTGAACTCCTGACCTCAGGTGACTGGCCTCCCAAAGTGCTAGGATTACAGGTGTGAGCCACTGCGCAGGCGCAAGTCTCAGTTTTAAATAACAGTATCGTGCTGGAGATGTCATACAATGGAATAACCAGTTTATCAGCAAATGTCTGTTGAAGGAAAAAAGGAAATTCAATATGCTCTCAGTTTTACGTCAAATGTGTCACTACACACATGCACATGGGTGCACGAATGCACAGGAACAGATACAGAAACAAAAAGCATTACATTTCATTGACAATCATCATATAGCCTCAAGGAGGTAAAAACTGCATTAGGTCTAATTTAGAGAGAAGAGTGCCTTGAAATATAAGCATTAGCATGGTTTATGCTTTCTTGTCATAGGAATCAAGACATTCCTTTACCATTGTGAATGAAAGCTGATCTCTACTTTTTTTAATAAATTAGTTTATGTCAATGTTTTTACCAAGTTTACATCAGTACTAAGTCTTGGCAATTAATTATTCACATTCATCTGTCTCTACCTAGAAAGCAGAATAACCAAGCAACTAGAAGACCAAACATCAAATAAAAAAAAAAAAAAAGAGTACACTAATGTTTTGTGATAATGCAGTTAGGGTATCAATATAAGTTACTGTAACTTCATGATCCACTAAAATTAAGCTTGTTTTTAAAATCTTTTGTTTCTCGGCCTCTCTGTTGGAGACCATGTAAGCAAGACAATTAAGTCCAGGATACAACCTTAAATTCAAACTAGTTCTTTACTGATTCAATTATATTTGAAAGTTATCATCCTGCAGTATTTATTTTTTGGTCAAAGACAAGAAGATAATCAAATCAGCAAGGGAACCATAGTGACTCAAAACCATTCTGCAGAAGCCCTGGGTTTTCAGTAACTCTACCCTGAAACCAGATCTCCTAGAAGAGTCCCAGAAAGCAGGGAATCTGGCTGTTGTGGTTTTGACTACGAACATATCAAGAAATCTAATAAGTGGGCATACTAAAGACCTAGTATGAGACCAGGTCAAGGTTTGGGAAATAACAAAGCTAGGCAAGGTACCAGCAAAATAGTGCTGGCCATTTGAGGATACAATAAAGTTGCCTGAAGACACCGAGTAGAATATAACTTGTTGTTGTTGTTATTGTTTTTTGAGACAGAGTCTCTCTCTGTCGCCCAAGCTAGAGTGCAGTGGCACGATCTCAGCTCACTGCAACCTCCGCCTCCTGGGTTGAAGCAATTCTCCTGTGTTAGTTTCCCAAGTAGCTGGGATTACAGGCATGAGCTACATGCCTGACGAGCTTTTTTTGTATTTGTAGAGATGGGATTTCACCATGTTGGCCAGGTTGGTCTCAAACTCCCAGCCTCATGTGATCCACCCTCCTCGGTCTCCCCAAAGTGCTAGGATTACAGGCATGAGCCACCGCGCCCCGCCAAGTAGAACAGAATTTATGACTCTGAAAGCAAGCCACCTATGACAGGTATTAAAACCTCTATTTCAAAAATTGGTTATGTTTTATGTTCCTTATATTTTCTGCTAATTTCTCTAGTTTTCTATTTCAATAGTCATAAAACTATTAAAAAAAAAAGACTTCTAGTCTGCCTCTATGCCACTGAGGAACCAAACACAAAGAGGGCTTTTTGTTTACGCCTGATTCAAAATGTTGAAGAGAGAAGTTTGGTCGGGCGTGGTGGCTCACGCCTATAATCCCAGCATTTTGGGAAGCTAAGGCAGAAGGATCACTTGAGCACAGGAGTTCAAGACCGAGTTGGGCACCATGGCAAGTCCCCCTCTCTACAAAAAATAAAAAATCTAGCTGGCTGCAGGGACACACGCCTATAGTCCCAGCTACTCGGGAGGCTGAGGCAGGAGGATCACTTTAGCCCAGGTCGTTTTTGCACCACTGTGCTCCAGCCTGGGTGACAGAGAGAGACACTGCCTCAAAAAAAAAAAAAAAAACAGAGAAGCTCCCCCTAAGGGCCAGCACAGAGATGGAATCCAGGCAAGAAGGTGAAGGAATTAACACTTACGGGGGTAAATGTGACTAAGATTTACTCTCAAAGTCAAATCCATGGGCAAATCTGCATCATGGGCAAGAAAAATTACTTGAGTTTTGTCCAAAGCTGCTTTTACTTCGGTTTGCTCCTGCAGCAAAAATAAGCAATGCTAAGGATAAAAATGTGACCAGGAGACAGGCAAGAAAACAAAGCTCCTTATTGCCTCCCTTATCTCAAGGAGGAACTTTAGGATGCCACCATCTTGACAACTGACACAGGTGGGGAAAACTCCAGAAGGATGACAACAAAAATAGCTTATACTATCATATATAAGACAACAATTATGTTACTTTGGTGAGTGATGTTCACTAGGCTTACATTTAGTTTCCAGGCCTTAACATTTTTCCTATTGAGTCTTTCAATAATCTGCCTTTATCTGTGCCAGCTCTGCAGGGTCTAAGAGTTAAGTTTTCCTAATGTATTAATAGGTCTGACCAGAGCCTACTAGAATCTATAATGTGTCACGCACTAGGTAAAGTATTTTATATATTTTCCTTCATGTAATCATCACAATGCTGTGCTATAGGAATTATATCCCCGTACGTAGAAGAGAAAAAGCTCAGAAAAGCTAAGTATTTAGCAATTAAGAGAACGGATTTTGGAGTAAAACCGTTCTGTTAACTTAGCCTGTGTTAAGCCACCTAATTTCTCTAGAACTGAATATAACTTCAGTTATAAAAATGGAACTAAGCTAGGCGCAGTGGCTGACGCCTGTAATCCCAGCACTTTGAGAGGCTGGAGTAGATGGATCACCTGAAGTCAGAAGTTTGAGACCAGCCTGGCCAACATGGTGAAATCCCGTCTCTACTAAAAATATGAAAATTAGCCAGGCATGGTGGCGTGTGCCTGTAGTCCCAGCTACCCGGAGGCTGGGGCACGAGAATTGCTTGAACCTGGGAGGCGGAGGTTGCAGTGAGCCAAGATCGTGCCACTGCACTTCTGCCTGGATGACACAGCGAGACTCCATCTCAAAAACAAAAAGGAACAACTTTGGGAGGCCAAGGTGGGCGGATCACCTGAGATCAGGAGTTCAAGACCAGCCTGGCCAACATGGAGAAACCCTGTCTCTACTAAAAATACAAAATTAGCTGGGTGTAGTGGCAGGCGACTGTAATCCCAGCTACTCAGGAGGCTGAGACAGGATAATCGCTTGAACTCGGGAGGCAGAGGTTGCAGCGAGCTGAGATCGTGCCATTGCACTCCAGCCTGGGCAACAAGAGCGAAACTCCATCTTAAATAAAAAAAAAGAGGAACAAATAGGCCAGGCGTGGTGGCTCACGCCTGTCATCCTAGCATCCTAGCACAAACGGGCCAAGGCGGGCAGATCACAAGGTCAAGAGATCGAAACTATTCTGGCCAACATGGTGAAACCCTGTCTCTACTAAAAATACAAAAATCAGCTGGGCATGGTGGCGTGTGCCTGTAGTTCCAGATACTCAGGAGGCTGAGGCAGGAGAATCGCTTGAATCCGGGAGGCAGAGCTTGCAGTGAGCCGAGATCACACCACTGCACTCCAGCCTGGCAACAGAGCGAGACTCTGTCTCAGAAAACAAAACAAAAAAAAAAACAGGAACAAATAATGCATACCTTGTAGGACTACTGTGCTGATAAAGTAACATAATGAATGCAGAACCTTTATCATAGTGACTGGCATGTAAGAAATCCTTAGTAAGTGATTATTTTTAATCTAAAATCATTCTTAAGTTTGGAAATCACACCCAAAAGATGTGTGGTCGTAGGAAGCAAAACAGAATTAGAACTACTAGATGAAAAACACCCTTTTCCACCTGGAGATTCTTCTTCTAATGCAAACTTTATTTTAGGAGACACTGTTCCATTACAGGCGATGAAGAATCATTATCTGGCTGATAGAGACTAAGTGATGAGCAGAATAAGGATGACTTCATAAAGAAATGTATCCCTTTGCACATGAATATTAAGATGAATGTTCTAGCACCACTTGAAAATAAGCTTGGATTCCTTAGAAGACAATCATACAAAAACATTTTGTTGAAACAAATCCGAAATTCAAGAAAGAATATCCACATCCCAGCTTAATATAAGTCTCAATCAAATCACATCTCAGAGAACTTAGTAAGATCTTCCTTCCTCCCTTCCTCTCTCTGTCTCTCTCTCTGTTTTTGTGTATATGAAATAAAACACAAAGAATAGAAGGTTTGAAGGTTCACCAAACTTAACTTTTCAAGAGTGGGAATATCAATTCTTGGACCTTCCAAACAGAATGAAAATACAAGCTATTGGGCAACAACAACTATGATCATAAACTTAAAAAAAATCTGTAAGCTATTCTATCAATCTTTCCCAGTGTACCCCTTGAGTCACAGTCATTTCTTTTGTTACATAATCCCCCACAATGTCTTTTTGTACATTAGCAAATCAGCATAATTAACATAAGTATCATTCACTATTTGGAGAACACAATTTAGTCTAAGCACAGCTGCCCTATATATTACTGATAATGAGAAATGCAAACTAGGTAAGGGAGATGAGATTGCTACTTTAACAGATTGTTTTTCAATAGTTTCAGTCAACACAGTTGAAAAATGGCTCATCTCCTGTACTTTAGTTTTATAATTGTTATAAATTACCATAAACAGAACTTGGTAAAAAAAATAATAAAATAAATGAATAAATTTAAAAAAAATATGGTAATTTTAAAAGCAGAAAGAAGCAGCTTTGGTACCCTTTTCATAAACTGGTATTTGGCAATATGAAGATGATAAAAAGAATCAGAGCAACAGTGATTAAGTTAAACATGTCTCTGCATCAGCCTGAAAGGTTGATAAGACAGACTCCATGATATGCTTAGAGGTTGAGGTACACATCTAAACTGCCATAAATCGAAGCACTGAACCTACAATACAAGATAAATGGTAAAACCACAATGGCAAAAATACTAACTCTAAACCGCTTAATTCTCTCTACTGCAAAGAGGTAGGCTAGGGTCAATTCATGATCAATGATATCAAAAGCTACAAGTATATTTAACTGTATTACTGGGAAGAATGGTCATATGCAATCACTAGAATGAAATCATCATTTAGAAATCTAGTGATGCTAAAACTTGATATCAATATAGCAGATAATAATTAATATGCTACTCTAAATTTATTATACCATCAACACCTCTAAATTCTTAAAACAGCCTGTAAAAGCTTCTAAAAGCCCAAGAATATTACTAATTACTACCAGTTGATTACCCAACTGTGGTTGCAGGCAGAGATTAGGCTCTACTAGTTATTAGCTATCAAGGCCAATCAGGTAAATAAATAGTATTTTGCTAAAAATCTCAGGTGAGTTGAATCTTAGATCAAACTTATGATATTTGGCCCCCAGGCTGCATTTTAATGCCTGGTAATGCAAGTGATGAACAACAGGAGCCAGATTCCAGGAGAGGAAACATGGTGCCCTGACTACTAGGAAACAGCTTCAAGTGGGCAACAAAGGAGGAGTCTTACCCCCACAGCTCACTGATGGGGTCACTAACCTACAGAGAAATGCGATTTCTACCAGGAAACAACACAGGCATCGTGGTGAACTCACAAAGAGAAACAGGGAGTCTGTAGTTGTAGTTCTCAAAAACCAGCAACTTTAGCTGCCCTTAGTATTACTACTACTATTATGATCTGTTTTTCACCACAGAACACTTCTGACACCAAATATGTGCATTTTCCACATCAGATAATTCTCCAAATCTCTGTGGACACCAACTAGGTAGTGACACAAACTACCCAGAATTAGCCCAGACCTCTCAGTTCCATAATACTACACCCCACTTCACATGCCATCGCAAGTACAAAGTGGCCAGGGTACCCACACTCTGTCAAATCAGGGGCTCCCACAATGAACTACTCAAGTTCAATAATCTGCTAATAATCTTCTAACCCAGGTAGAAGGCTGCAAAACCCTAATAGAGCCCAAGACTCAGGAGGGCTCTTTTAAGAAGGCAGGCCCATACCCAGGTGGCAGCCTCACTGACCATGGTCCCAGCTACAGACCTAGAAACCTATACACTATCATTTGAGCCAATGTAAAAATAAAATGGACTTTTGTATCATATAAAAATTACCAGAGGCAAACCTAAAAGTTTGTTTTGATTTTAATTCTTATACTTAAGGATCTTGAAAATGGTCAGTAAAAGGGTATATTCTACATAATAAAAGTCCTTTCTATTTGTACGTCCGTCAGTTTAAGGGTTATTTCTCTAATGTTTGATTGTGTTTTGCTCATTATTTGTATTACTGCATTCTAATCTGGCTTCCTGGAGTTAAATTACTACCCTATGAAGTTATGTCCCAGATTCATTGTCATTTCTGTTTAAGACAGGAAAATAAACTGACTTGGGTACCTTTACTTACCATTTTTGTTTTCAATGAACTACCATTATTTAACATACTAAATGGCACTGTAAGGAATCATAATTCAACAACAACAACAACAAAATGGAAAACTGATTTATATCAGTTTCTCAGGGGCCCATTTCTTATATTCACTTTTCATTTGTACATATGGTCACAAAACATATGCGAGTTATATAAACAAATTATATTATTATTTACAAAATAATTCCTTAAAGAATTATTTCAATTCAGCTGGACATGGTAGCCCAGGCCTATAATCCCAGCTACACAGGAGGCTGACGAGGGAGGATCACTGGAGACCAGGAGTTCAAGACTGGCCTGGGTAACATAGAAAGACCTCCACATCTAAAAAATAAATAAATAAATATATACATACATATATATATATATATATATATATATATATATATATATATATATGAATTAATTTTTAAAAACACTGGAAAATTAAATTCTCAAGTTATTTGATTACTCAAATCTTTTTTTTGAGACAGAGTCTTGCTCTGTTGCCCAGGCTGGAGTACAGTGGCATGATCTCTGCTCACCACAACCTCTGCCTCCCAGGTTCAAGTGATCCTTGGGCCTCAGCCTCCCAAGTAGCTGGGATCACAGGCATGTGCCACCATGCATGGCTGATTTTTGTATTTTTGGTAGAGACGGGGTTTCACCATGTTGGCCAGGCTGGTCTCAAACTCCTAGCTTCAAGAGATCTCTTATCTCAGCCTCCCAAAGTGCTGGGATTACAGGCATGAGCCACCACGCCCAGCCCAATTACTCAAATCTTAAAATTAAACATTCCATCAGAAGTCAGTGGCCAAAATTCTCCTTTACATACAGCATAGTCTACCCAAGTCAAATCCTCTTCAGATGTGAATTGGCCTAAAAAACTGTGATAAGCAAAGAACACAAGCACAAAATTCCATTTAAGAGATGCTTCGTGCCTAGAATCAGCTTTAGGGTAGAGAAATATTAATGACAGAATTAGTCAGCATTTGGTTTAGTGGTCTAAGTATGGCCTGACTGCAAGTTGGGCTAAATATATCAAAAAGTCTGTCCAATGTGTGGCCTAATAATTCACTGCCCCTTGAAATCCATGCTATCATATTTCTGTAGATTCATTAATGCTAAAATGATTCCAATAGACAGATTTTTATTTATAATTTCACCTAAAACAACCAAGCAATTTTTCAAAATCATTATAATATTGCTGCTGATGTTAATAAATATGAAATCTCTTACTTGTATGGGGTAATTCTTTTCCTCTTCACAGTAGTAGGTTGTGCTAATACAACAATTTTTCTTTTATTGTTCACTAATGAGACAGTAATTGCCATCAGAATCCTACTGGAAACATAGACTTTTAAATATAACAGGCCTAAAGACAGGTTTCACTGTATTTATAATGATTTTCAGATACATTTTGTTCTGCATGAATACAACAGCACCAAAATGTTTTCTTTTCTGTGGAAGATAAACTTCATATTATTTAGCAACGTGTGCATAGGAGAAACAAATTTAACCAGGCAGATCTCAGGTACCTCTTTCCAGCAACTAATGAAAGAACAATGAACAGAATGCTCCTTTTTACTTAAAGAAAAAAAAAATCCTGTTAACCTTTCATTAGAAATCCTTAAAAAAATGCTATTTTAAAGTTTTTAATGTTTGAATTAGAAATGTAACCATCGGACTCACTATGAGTTCCAATGTACCGCAATGCAAAACTGCACACTCCACTTCAAATACTGATTATATATAAAGAACATTTATAGAAAGATATTTTAATGTATTGTTGGCTGGCACCACTACCTTCAGAATTTATTTAGAATGTAAAGATTTCTAGAAATACATTTTAATTAATACTTTCTGGTGGTATATTTTGGTTGATGAACTGCACTTGGCAATTACCATCCTTTGGGACCTCAGGTACTCTTCGCCTCTTAAATATTGTAGGTGCTATTAATATTTACCACTCAACAGATGGATTAACAAGTCTGTTTCTCATTCTTAGATTATAATCTTTTCTAAAGCCCAAATAAAATGTGAAAGGAGAATAGTACCTTTCATGATGTCCTAAATCCAAAAGAAATTCATCTGCATGTCTTTGGAGTTCATTTCCTTCTAAGTTCTTTAATTTCTTCAATTCACTCTGTAGGAAAAACCAGAGCTCTTTAGCTCCATTTTCAATCCTCCTCCTCAGGATTTCATGATCCTTCCCCAGACCTGTAGTCAAAGAATAGAGAGTTGTAGCATTTCCAACATTTTGATAAAAGGAAACTTTCAATTATCTGTGCTAAAGCCCATATACTGAGGAGGGGAAAACACTGTATAATCACCTACCATTTCTGGTCTGTTTCTTGTAATTTTCAATCTGTTCTTTGGCCTTAACAAGCTGCTCTTCTAAAACGCGTACTCTTCCTATAGCTGGCCCCTGATCAATAGGGCCTTCTGGTATCCTGTAGTTTAGGGAAGATAATGTAAACATTTAGCTTTCAAACTGTGCAACAAAATACAAGCTCACTTTCTAAAACATTTATACTGTAAACTCCATAAGTTGTTGAACCATATAGCACAAAAGTAGTACCAAATGGAATTTTCTCTTCAAAGGTATAGGATTAACCAGTGAAATGGACAATGAAATGATAATAACGAAAAATAGAAAATATTAATCTACTTCAGAAATCTATGATCTTCTAGGAGTTAACAAACCTCTAGAGCTGTTTCCTAAAAATCTTTCATCCCCAGAGTACCATGATCAGTGGCAAAGAGGTCAATTATTCATTAGCATTGAGAGTAACAAAAGTGAAGGAAAAAGTAAAGAAAAGGCTTAAAGGGAATAACGAAGCATATCTGAACATGTGTCTAAGGACATGCTCAAACATCAAATATAATGTATTTCTAAATTAATTATAATATCAGACTATGTAAATCTGTCTTTCAATTCATGACATTAGACTACTAAGCATTGGTCTTATATAGAAAAAAGAAAGACAAGAGTAGAAGATAAAACATATTAGAAAAAAATTGGGCCAGGTGTAGCCACTCATGCCTATAATCCCAGCACTTTGGGAGGCCCAGGTAGGAGGATTACTTGAGCCCAGGAGTTCATGGCCAGCCTGGGCAACACAGCAATCCCCCATCATTACAAAAATGAAAACATTAGCTGGGCACATGGTGGTGTGTGCCTGCAGTCCCAGCTACTCAGGAAGCTAAGGAAGGAGGATGGCTTGAACCATCCTTGAACCATAGTTCAAGATTACAATGAACTATGATCATGTCACTGCATTCTAGTGTAGGCAGCAGAGTGAAACCCTGTCTCGAAAAAATAAAAATAAAAAATTGAAGATCATTGTTCTATTCATTTCTATCAGCAACAAAAACAATCAGTCAATAATATAAAAGCTGGAACACAGAACAGCAATCCAAGATCTCTTACTTATATTATCAACCTCTCTGTTCAACTTAATTCCAAACTGTGCTTGTTCCTGTTTTGTTTTTATGTGACTTATGGCAGTATACTGTACTCCACTTTGATGTACATAATACAATTTCGTGGTAGGCTAAACAAAGGTCTCCCAAAGATATCCATAACCTAATCATGAAATCTGTGAATATTACTCTTTATGGCAAAAGAAACTCTGAATATATAATTAAGGATTTTGAGATTGGATTATCTAGGTGAGCCATTTTGTAATAACAAGTGTCTTCATAAGAGGAAGGTAGAAGAAGATTTTACTACAGAAGAGGAAAAGGTTATGTGGCTGTTAGCTTTGAAGATGGAAGAAGCAACCATGAGCAAGGAAGACATTTTTAGAAACTGGAAAAGGCAAACGAACGAACAAACAAAAATACCCCAGATGCTCTCCTAGAGCTTCTCTAGGGAATCCAGCCCTCCTGACATCTTGGTTTCAGTGCAGTGAAACTCAATTCAGATCTCTGGCCTCCAAAACTCTTAAGAGAATAAATTTATGTTGTTTTAAGCCATAAAGTTTGTGGTATTTGTCAAAGCAGCAATAGGAAATTAATACGTACATATATTGATCCTTTTACAAAATTGTCCTAAAGATTAAATAGCTGATTTTTCTTTCAAAGTCTATTTAAATGAGGAAATGTCTGTAAAAGTACTTAGCAGTGTCTGGCAATAAATTTTATGAAGGCTACTATTATATCTGAGCTTTGTCATTTTAGAGATGAGCTGTAATCTCAAAAAGTCTGGGCTATCTATTCTTACCATCATGACCAGTTTAAGGGAACTTAAGTTTTAAATTATAGTTGGCAGAACTTAAATTCAGATGTCAACACAGTCTTTTTTTTTTTTTTTTGACACAGTCTCGATTTGTCACCCAGGCTGGAGTACAGTGATGGGATCTTGGCTTGCCACAACCACTGCCTCCCAGATTCAAATGATTCTCGTGCCTCGGCCTCCTGAGCAGATGGGATTACGGGAATGCACCACCATCCCTGGCTAATTTTTTTACATTTTTAGTAGAGACGGGGTTTCATTGGGTTGGCCAGGCTGGTCTAAAACTCCTGGCCTCAAGTGATCCGCCCACCTCAACCTCCCAAAGTGCTGAATTACAGGTATGAGCCACGGCGCCCAGCCAACATAGCCTTTTGAGGCAAACACTCTGATACGAAAGGTTTTTTATAGCTTCTCTAACATTTTCTATATAACCTGATAAAGCCAAATTAACTGTCAATTACCTACACTACTTCAGAACACGTTTAATAAAGTAGCTATTGTTACAGCTATACCAAAGTAATTGGAGACATTTTATAATTTCCTGTAAAATTGTACGCATTAACATTGAACAGGAGCATAAAAAGTAACTATCCTCCAATCATGAGTGTCCAAGGCTACAGAATATGAATGAAAAAGCCTTCATTTGTATAAGCACAAAGCGAATAATAAAAAATGAATACAGTAGTTAGGTGCACAATTACCCAATTTATGAGCACGCATACATTCACAAATGAGGCATGTCCTGGTATATAGTTTTTTAAAGTTATGTTTCTAAGACTTGGCTCTTAATCTCTTTGTGAATTAGGTGGCTGGTTTCTAGGAAACAATTTGAAAATAGAATAAAACTTCAATCTCTTGGGATTTATTTTGGCAGCAATATACTATAGGACAGGAATGTCCTTTTTCAGAACATATGTTAGTGATAGAAAAATTGACAATAGAAAGATTATGTCTAGGTTCTCCTTTTTATCTCTTTCTTCAAATATTGGTGGAATAAACATCAGAGGCAAAACAGCCATGAAAAAAATAGCATGTGATCTTTTCAGTAGCTTTCCACAAAGAGTTCCAATCTAATTCTAATAAAACATAATGGAATTAGTAATCCATATTGCCTAATAATCTAATCCAACTGTGAAAAAAAAAACTGGAAAAGAAAATTACTGGAAAAATCACTCTAAAAAAAAAATACAGGAGAACTATTCTTTCCAAACTCCATCCAGAAAAGAGTCAATATGCACGAACAGTCTCTTTTCTGAATACTTAGGGAACAGAATGCTTTCTTACATTCACCATGCCAAAGATACAGATATATAAGACTTCCACTTCTAGCCAAGACATTTACCATCCTGCCTGAAACAACTCAAAATCCAGGTTAGATGTATTAAACAATGATCTAATAAAATTGCAATCAGGCAACAAAGGGCAGTGATCACCAGAGAAGGAAAACAAATGATGATAGCCCTGTGACTGTCCCAGCTTACTGCATTCAGAGAGTTTCCAGACCACAGTGTATGGAGGGGAAATGCAGATGGAGCCAGTACATTCACTGAGTTGAAGAAATGGAGCTAAGAGTCTAAAAAGACCAAGACAGAGTTTGAATAAGAGAGAACTGTAGAGGACAGAGAATTCCAGAAATCTGCAAAGGTACCATTTTGGAATTAGCAGAGTACTCATCAGCACACACACATAAGGAACTACTCAGGCTGGGGAAAGAACTCTCTAAAAGGATTAGAGGAAGTAGTACCTGGCATTCATACAGATTAGGTAGAAACAGTTCCTGATCCTATCAGCCAGACTAGAAAACCGTAATTCATGGGATGCTGGGTAAAATGCTCAGAAGGATTTGGCCTCAATAGCAGGAAAATGTGCCCCAGACCAAACATTGCTTAGGTCCCACTTAACAATTATTAAAAGACAAAATAGGATCAAATTATTTTAAAATAACATAACTACATCCCAGAACAAAATTTAAGAATATTTGTAAATTATACAAGACCTTCTAGTAACAAACAAGGTAAAATTCATGTCTGGAATCCACAAAAGTTACCAGGCTTGCAAAAAAACAAGAAAAGACAACCCATAAAGAAGAGTGAAATCAATCTATCAAAACCAACTCAAAACTGACACAGATGTTAGAATCACCATAGAAATAACAGTTATTATGACTGTATTTCATATGTTCAAAAGTTAGAGACAGGGAAGATATAAAAAAGATGTTAAAATTTTAATAGGCCAGGTGCGGTGGCTCACGCCTGTAATCCCAGCACTTTGGGAGGCTGAGGCAGGCAGATCACCTGAGGTCAGGAGTTCAAGACCAGCCTGGCCAACATGGTGAAATACTGTCTCTATGAAAAATACAAAAATTAGCCAGGCATGGTGGCAGACGTCTGTAATCCCAGCTACTCAGGAGGCTGAGGCAGGAGAACTGCTTGAACCCAAGAGGCAGAGGTTGCAGTGAGTCGAGATCACGCCTTTGAACTCCAGCCGGGGTGGCAGAGTGAGACTCCATCTCAGAAAAAAGAAAGAAAGAAAGAAAAAATTTTAATAGATACCCAAGTTGAACTACTACAGATGAAAACTATAATGTCTGAAATGAAAAATATAAAGAATGAGATTTACTGCAGATTATATATTGTAGCGTCTACCCTAAGAAACTAAGAAAAAAAGAGCAAATGAAACTCCAATTAAGTGGAAGAAACGAAGTAATAAAGATCAGAGAGACGATCAATGAAATGGAGAAAAAGAAAAATAGATAAAAACCAATGAAAACTAAAATCTGGTTCTTTAAAAAAAAAAGAAAGAAAATCAATTAAACTGGCAGACTTTTTCCTAATAAATATTTTCGGTTTTATAGGCCAACAAGCAAAATCAAGGCTATTACTTGGGGGGTGTGTGTGTGTGTGTGTGTGTGTGTGTGTGTGTGTGTGTGTGTGTGTGTGTGTGTGTGTGTGTGTGTGTGTGTGTGTGCGCGCGCGCGCGCGCGCGCGCGCGCGTGTGTGTGTGTGTATGACACTTAAAATGTAACAACTTAAAAATGGAAAATCATTCTTAGCTTGCTGGCCATGAAAAAAAGAGGTGGTTGGTAGGATGTGACCCATGAGCCATAGTTTGCCAACCCCTATTGTAGCCACACTGGGCAAAAAAACCTAGAGGGACTACTTCTTTCTATAAAGTTAGTATTATCTGGATATCAAACCAGAGAAAGATATAGTAAGAAAAAAAATTACAGAACAGTATCTCTCATGAACACCAATATAAAAATTATAAAAAAATTTAGCAAACCAAACCCAACCATATGTAATGTAGATAGTAAATCATGGTTAACCAAGGTTTATCCTAGAAATCCAAGATTGGCTTAGCATTAAAAAATAAATCAATGTAATTCTTCCTATAGACAAAATTTTTTTTAAACAAAATTTTACAAAACACATTATCTGAATACACTCAGAAAAAGGACTTAACAAAAGTCTAATGTAAATTCCTGATAAAAAGTGTCAGAAATGGCTGGGTGCAGTGGCTCACGCCTGTAATCCCAGCACTTTGGGAGGCCGAGGCAGGCGGATCACCTGAGGTTGGGAGTTCGAGACCAACCTGACCAACATGGAGAAACCCCGTCTCTACTAAAAATATAAAATTAGCCAGGCATGGTGGTGCATGCCTGTAATCCCAGCTACTCGGGAGGCTGAGGCAGGAGAATTGCTTGAACCTGGGAGACAGAGGCTGTGGTGAGCCGAGATTGTGCCATTGCACTCCAGCCAGGGCAACAAGAGCGAAACTTTGTTTCAAAAAAAAAAAAAAAGGTGTCAGAAACTAGGAAATTAAGGAAATTTCCTCAACCTGATAACAATTATCTATTAAAAACTTACTGCTAACACCATAGGTTAATGGTGAAAGCATAAATATATTGCCCCTAATATCAGAAACAAAACAAGATGTCCTCTCTCACCACTTCTACTCACCACGATATTGGAAATTCTAGCCAGTAGACCAAGGCAAGAAAAAGAAACAAAGGCATTCAAATTGGAATGAAAGAAGCAAAGCTATCCTCGGTTCACATAACATGATAATCTATGTTGAAAATCTGATGTTGTTTAACAAGGTTGCAGAATATAACATCAACATACAAAATTCAATTCTATATTTCTATATTCTACATTTCTATATTCTAGCAAAAAACAACTGGAAATTAATATTTTAAACCACATTATTAGTTACAATAGCAAAAAAAAATGAAAAAAATTAAGTATCAATCTGGCAAAAGATGGGCACGACTTATAAATTTAAAATTATAAAACAACACTGAATTTGTTTAGAAATTGTCAGGCCAGTAATAAAATTCATATGGAAACACAAACATCTAGAATACTCAATACAAATCAGAAAAAGATAAAACTAAAAGGCAAACACCATCTGATATTAAGACCTATTGTATCTGGCTTGAGTTGGTGTTTGAATGACTGATTGAATGAATGAATGAATGAATGAACAAAAATTTAAAAAATTTAAAAAAAGTTTTTAAAGACCTATTATAAAACTACATACAATAATCAAGACAGTGAGGTACTAGTATAAAGACAGATGACAAAGAGCATAATGAAACAGAAAAGAGTCCGGGAATAGGCCCACACATAAATGGACACTCAATTTATTTTTTAAATAAAGTCACAAAGATAATTTAGCAGACAGTTTTCACAACAAGAGGAAAACAAGAAATATACCTTTCTGACCCTCAGTTCAGCAAAGTTATCTTAGCTATGACAGAAAGGTGTGATCCACAAAAGAAAAAATTGATAAACTGGATTTCACTAAAATTAAAAGCTCTTCTTTTAGAAAGACACAGTTAAGAGAATGAAAAGATAACCCACAGACTAGAGGAAAAATTTTTTTTTTTTTTTTGAGACAGAGTCTCACTCTGTCACCCAGGCTGGAGTGCAGTGGCGCGATCCTGGCTCACTGCAACCTCCACCTCTCGGGTTCAAGTGATTCTTCCGCTTCAGCCTCCCAAGTAGCTGGGACTACAGGAGCGCGCCACCACACCCGGCTAATTTTTATATTTTTAGTAGAGACGGGGTTTTGCCATGTTGGCCAGGCTGGTCTTCAACTCCTGACCTCAGGTGATCCACCCGCCTTGGCTTCCCAAAGTGCTGAGATTACAGACATGAGCCACTGCGCCTGGCCAAGAAAATATTTTTAAATCCTACATCTGTTAAAGGACTTGTATCCAGACTACATAAAGTATCAAATCATCAGGAAAAAAAAGAAAAAACCTCATAAGCAAAAAGATTTAAATAAATGTTTGAACAAAAAAGACAAAAAGGCGAATTAAGCACACTAAAAGACGTTAGACATCATTAGTTATTAGGTAAATCCAAGAAAGCTGGACTGTGCAGCTGCAGCAATAGCTATATAGGCTGGCCTGGTTCACTGCTTACATCTGACATCACAAAACATGAAACAGCTAATCACTAGGGTTTCCTGTAGATGATCCTCATTCCTATTTTAAAAGCCTTTAAGGATGCCTACATGTTAAGTTTTTCTGAGATTTGATATGTATTTCAAAAATTATTCTCCCAAATAAAAACTTGATGAAAATCTTTATTCAAACAAAAAGGTACCATTCTAATACCCAAACATTAGCCCCACTCTAAAGGAATTCAATGCATTAAAACATAATATGAAAACCAGTAAATTACTGCTTTGCAATCAGAATATGAAAAACTAGTGAGTTGTAGCCTAAATGAAATGATTACACGGCTCTCTGAGAAATTAAACTTTTCCCATCAAAAATGCACTTAATAATTCATGTAAAACAGGTTGCCTTTCTTAAATACTTTCAACAATTATGCCATGAACATTGGAAAGAATAAAGATCTTAATTAAGAAAAAGAACGTAGGCACAAATAAGCAATATTAGGAAAGAAAAGAGAATCACAAACAGATAAGGAATTTTAAAACATATCAAAAATTACTATATTTTCAGGCACTTGCTTTAAAAACATAAAAAACATACTTTCTAGAGGAATTAAACTACAAAATGAACTCAATAATATATAAAAATTTTCAGTGGTCAAAAATCTATTGAATTTTTTGAAACTTTAGATTCAAGCATTTTTTTTTTTTTTTTTTTGAGACGGAGTCTAGCTTTGTTGCCAGGCTGGAGTGCAGTGGCACAATCTCGGCTCACTGCAACCTCTGCCTCCCGGGTTCAAGTGATTCTCCTGCCTCAGCTTCCCAAGTAGCTGGGATTACAGGCATGCGCCGCCACACCCAGCTAATTTTTTTGTATTTTTCGTAGAGACGGGGTTTCACCATGTTGGCCAGTAATGGTCTCGATCTCCTGACCTCATGATCTGCCCACTTCAGCCTCCCAAAGTGCTGGGATTACAGGCATGAGCTACCGTGCCTGGCCAGGTTCTAGCATTTTTATATGAGTTTTACAAATATTCATAAAACATCGAATCAAAATCTAGGAAATATAAAAAGAGAGGAAATTCTAAAATTCCATTCCTGAGATTAGTATAAGATTGATATAGAAGTAGACAAGGATAACAAAGAAATTAAAGACTAATTCAAATATAAGCTTATTTTCAAACTCCCAAATGATCCATTAGTAAATACAGCAATATATTTAAAAATACATGACTATCTCAACTTTATCCTAAGAATACTACATTGGTTTACGATTAGAAAAACTATTAATTTAAATTGATTACATTAACAAATTAAAACAAAATAAAATTACAATCTCAATGGAAACAAAAAATCATTAGATAAAATTTAATACTTATTCATTATAAACACCTTAACAAGAAAGAATGAATGGAAGGTAAACTCTTTAATTCAGTAAGGAATATTAGAAATTCATAATAAATATCACATTCTATGGATCAACTCATCAGTAGCATTCCTTTTAAATCTAAGAACAATAGAAGACAGGCCTGCCATCTATGCTTCTATTCATCACTGTACTGAAGGCCTTAGCTGAGGTAATAAGATAAAGAAGTAAGACTTACAAGTGTAGAAAATGAAGAAACAAATGTTATTCAGATAATATAAACTTTAATACAGAAAATCCAAGATAATCTACAAATCGTACTAATAAAGTTCAGGGACATCACTATATACAATATCAATGTACAGAAATTAAAGTCTCTATACAACAACAACCACAAATTACTAAATGTGTTTTTTAAAATATCACATTTACAACAGTAACAGCAGAATCATAATCTTTCAAGGAATAAATCTAACAAACAGCAACATACCTCATACATTAAAAAATTATAAATTTTCTGAAGAAGTAGTTGTTTCCCAAATTGATCTATAAATTAAATACAATTCTAATAAAAATTCCAAAAGGATTTTTTAATTAAATTTAGCAAAGTGATCCTAAAATACTTATGAAAAAGCAAAATCTCCAAAATAAGCTAGTTCATTTTGCAAAATAAGAAAAAAAATAGGATTTCCCCCCATCAGAAAACAAAACAAAGTTTTACTAATGGAAACAGTGTAGTATTGGCACAAAGCCAGATAAGACTAATGGAACAGAATAAAGCACCTAGAAAGAGATCTTAGCATATGACACAGGTATCATTCTAAATTAATATGGAAAGGAAAAATAATTCAATAAGAGATGGTTTCACAGAAAATTCAAACAATCTTACAAACAAAACTTAAAAATTTTAGAAGAAATTTTGCATTCTTCATGATCTTGGGAGAGAAAAGAATTTCTTAAATAAGATTTTTTTTTAAAAGCCCAAACCATAAAAAGAAAGACTAATAAATCTGACTGCCTTAAAACTTAAAAATTTTTGGGCAGGGCACAGTGGCTTATGCCTGTAATCCCAGCACTTCGGGAGGCTGAGGCAGGTGGATCATGAGGTCAAGAGATCGAGACCATCTTGGCTAACACAGTGAAACCCCGTCTCTACTAAAAATACAAAAAAAAAAATTAGCCAGGGTTGGTGGCAGGCGCCTGTAGTCCCAACTACTCGGGAGGCTGAGGCAGGAGAATCACTTGAACCTGGGAGGCGGAGGTTGCAGTAAGCTGAGATCGCACCACTGCACTCCAGCCTGGGCGACAGAGCGAGACTCCATCTCAAAAAAAAAAAAAAAAACTAACAATTTTTGTGCAATAAAATTAATAGACAAGTCACAGGTGGAGAGAAGAGAATGGAAAATATATAATTAATGTAGGATTATTATATAGATTTTATAAAGAACTCCTTCAAATCTGTAAGAAAAAGGCAAGGCAATGTAATAGAAAAATGTACAAAGTATATGAACTAGCAGTTCATAGAAGAGGACTTCATTCATCAGTAATCCTGAGAAATGATCAGCATTTTTGGTAACCAGGATATTTAAATTGAAACAGAGATACTCTCTCCTCTATTAAAATGGCGACAATTAAAAAGTGTGATACTGAGTGAGATAAGGATGCAGAGAAACTGGAAATCTCACATATTAATTTGTTTTTAAGGGCTGCCATAACAGAATACCATAAAATGGGTGGCTTAAACAACAGAAATTTATTTTATCACAGTTCTGGAGGCTAGAAGTCCATGATTAAGGCATCAGCAGGTTTGGTTTCTTCTGAGGACTCACTCATTGGGTTGCAGAAGTCTGCCTCTTCTCAACTGTATCCTCAACATGTCTTTCCTCTGTCTGCAAGCCTCCCCTCTTTTGTTTGCCCAAATTACCCCTTCTTATAAGGACACCATCACATTGGATTAGGGTCCACCTTAATGACCTGGTTTTAACTTAATCATCTCTTTAAAGGGACTATCTCCAAATACAATCACATCTGAGGGACTGGGGTTTAGGGCTTCAACATATGAATCTGGATGGGTGGGGGAAGCAATTAAGCCCGTAACATACATTAAAGGTAGCCCATATACATTAAAGGTAGGAACGTAATATTAGAATAATTTGTTTAGAAAATATTGCTGAATTGCTCCAAAGTTGAAAATGCACATATAATAAGACTGAGAATGTATCCTTCTAAGATTACCCTAAAGAAATTTTAGCACATGTCCACAAGGAGACACTAGATGTCCATTAATAGAGAATAAATAGTAAATTGTGGTTATTCATATATGGTAATTTAATCTACAGTTAAAATGAACAAAGTATACCTACAAGTATCAATCATGAATAATCTTACATGAATTTCACAATGTTGAGTGAAAAAAGTTGCAAAACATACATATATGTAGGATGATACATTCTTACAAATTTTAAAAAGATATAAAAACATGCTTTCATGCACACTTATTTACATAATATAAGAATAAAAATGTGGACAGGAGGTATGCACAACACTCAGAATAAAAATTCCTCTGGAAAGTGAGGAAGGAAAGTGGGATTAAGAAGTTATATATACTTCATTTATCTTTTGTATTGTTTTTGTTTCAATTTCATTTAGTTCTGCTCTAATCTTGGTCATTTCCTTTCTTCTGTTGGGTTTGGGTCTGGTTTGTTCTTGTTCTTGTTTCTCTAGTTCCTTGAGGTGTGACCTTAGATTGTCTACTTGTGCTCTTTCAGACTTTTTGATGTAGGCATTTAAGGCTAAGAACTTTCCTCTTTGCACTGCCTTTGCTGTATCCCAGAGGTTTTGATAGGCTGTATCACTATTATTGTTCAGTTTGAGGAATTTTTTAGTTTCCGTTTGATTTCATTGTTGACCCAATGATCATTCAGGAGCAGGTTATTTAATTTCCATATATTTGCATGGTTTTAAAGGTTCCTTTGGAGTTGATTTCCAGTTTTATCCCACTGTGGTCTAAGAGAGTACTTGATATAATTTCAGTTTTCTTAAATTTATTGAGACTTGTTTTGTGGCCTATCAAATGGTCTACCTTGGAGAAAGTTCCATGCGCTGATGAATAGAATGTATACTCTGTGGTTGCTGGGTAGAATGTTCTATAAATATCTGTTAAGTTCATTTGTTCCAGGGTAGAGTTTAAATCCATTGTTTCTTTGTTGACTTTCTGTCTTGATGACCTGTCTAGTGCTGTCAGTGGAGTTATTATTATTACTTATTTTGTTGCTGTCTATCTCATTACTTAGGTTTGGTAGTAATTGTTTTATAAATTTGGGAGCGCTAGTGTTAGGTGTGTATATGTTTAGGATTGTTACAAGGCCTTGTATATGTTTAGGATTGTAAAAGGCCTTGTTGGACAAGGCCTTTTGTCTTTTTTAGTTGCTGTTGTTTTTTGTTTTGTCTGATGTAAGAATAGCTACTCCTGCTCGCTTTGGGTGTCCATTTGCATGAAATGTCTTTTTCCACCCCTGTACCTTAAGTTTATGTCAATCCTTATGTTTTAGGTGAAGGCAGCAGATGCTTGGTTTGTGAATTCGAATCCATTCTGCAATTCTGTACCTTTTAAGTGGAGCACTTAGACCACTTACATTCAATATTAACATTAAGATGTGAGGTACTATTCCATTCATCGTCCTATCTGTTGCCTGTATACCTTGGATTTTTTTTTAGTGTATTTTTGTTCTTTTGAAAAGATAAATAAAATTGATAGAGCATTAGCAAGATTAACCAAGAAAAGAAGAGAGAAGATCCAAAGAAGCTCAATTAGAAAATGAGCTTATGGTCATTGTGAAAATTGCCATACCGCCAAATCTACAAATTCAATGCAATCCCCATCAAAATACCGCCATCATTCTTTACAGAATTAGAAAAAAACAATTCTAAAATTCACATGGAACCAAAAAAGAGCCCACAAAGCCAAAGCCAAGACTGAGCAAAAAGAACAAATCTGGAGGCATCACACTACCTGATTTCAAACCATACTATACGGCCGTAAGTCACCGAAACAGTGTGGTAGTGGTATAAAAATAGCCACAAAGACCAACTGAACAGAATAGAGAACCCAGAAAAAAACCCAAATACTTACAGCCAACTGATCTTCGACAAAGCAAACAAAAACATAAAGTGGGGAAAGGACATCCTATGCAACAAATGATGCCAGGATAACTGGCAAGCCACATGTAGCAGAATAAAACCTCATCTCTCACCTTACACAAAAATCAACTCAAGATGGATCAAGGACTTAAATCTAAGACCTGAAACTATAAAAAAATCTAGAAAATAACATCGGAAAAAATCCTTCTAGACATTGGCTTAGGCGAAGACTTCAAAAGCAAACGTAACAAAAACAAACAGGTGGGACTTAATTAAACTAAAGAGCTTTTGCACAGCAAAAGGAACAGTCAGCAGAATAAACACAACCCACAGAGTGGGAAAAAAATCTCTGCAAACTATGAATCTGACAAAGGACTAATATACAGAATCCACAGCAAGGAAAAAACAATCGCATCAAAAAGTGGGCTAAGGACATGAATAAGACAATTCTCAAAAGAAGATACACAAATGTCCAAAAGACATATGAAGAAATGGTCAACATCACTAATAATCAGGGATATGCAAATCAAAACCACAATGTGATACCACCTTACTCCCACAAGAATGGCCATTGTCAAAAACTCAAAAAATAATAGATGTTGGCGTGGATGTGGTGATCAAGGAACACTTCTACAATGCTGGTGGGAATGTAAACTAGTACAGCCACTATGGAAAACAGTGTGGAGATTCCTTAAAGAACTAAAAATAGAACTACCATTTGATCCAGCAATCCCACTACTGGTTATTTACTCAGAGGAAAAGAAGTCATTATACGAAAAAGATACTTGCACATGCATGTTTATAGCAGCACAATTCGCAATTGCAAAAATGTGGAACCAAATGCCCATCAATCAATGAGTGGATAAAGAAACTGTGTGTGTGTGTGTGTGTGTGTGTGTGTGTGTGTGTGTGTGTGTGTGTGTGTGTGTGTGAGAGATGGAACGCTACTCGGCCATGAAAATGAATGAATTTAATGGCATTTGCAGCATCCTAGATGGAACTGGAGACTATTATCCTAAGTGAAGTAACTCAGAAATGGAAAACCAAACATCCTATGTTCTCACTCATAAGTGGGAGCTAAGCTATGAGGATACAAAGGCATAGGAAGGATACGACGGACTTTGGGGACTCGGGGGAAATGGTGGGAAGGAGGTGAGGGATAAAACACTACAAATTGGGTTCAGCGTATACTGCTCGGGTGATGAGTGTATCAAAATCTCACAAATCACCACTGAAGAACTTATATAACGGAATACCACCTGTCCTCCAAAAACTTACGGATATAAAAAAAATTTTTTTAAAAACCATCAAAACTTCAAAAGATAAAAAAAAGGTTACATCTGTATTTTATTCTAGCAATCTGAAGCAAATATGGCAAAATATCAATACTTGTTCAATCTGAGTGAAATACATGGGGTTATATTATTTTCTGAGCTTTACATATATATTTGAAGTACTCTTTAACAGCAGAAACGCGTTAATAAAATTAGATAAAAAATAAGTAGTTGCTCATCATTAATGATATTTGATTCTGATCTTCTGGCATCATATAGTAATACACTATTAGAATATTACTGTAAAAATATTATATAGCATGTCTTTTATTCAGAAGAAATTAACCAACACCGTTGCCTATCACCTACTAAATTTTTAGTCATGGTTACATAGTAGTTCAGCTGCTAAAATAACATCATTTTGTTTCACATGATAATAAGAAAAAATTTTTTAAACAATCTATAAAGAAAATCTGTAATAGTGGCATTATATCAACAAACTACTAAGATTAACATAATTCGGACCACTTCTAAATATAAACTAATATGGCTGAAAGGTAGAGTTATACTCAGTAAATTATAGATATGCAGTTTTGTTTGTTTTGGTTGGAATTTTAAGTGGTCACCCATAGGACTGAAATATTCCCAGCAAAAGCACAACAAATAATTGTATTTATTCAAATGTCAAGCTTTATAAGAGTTTGTCAAATTCGATACATGGAGAAGCCAGTTCCACTATTGAAAGAAAATATCACTTTATTCAAATAAACAGCTTCTAATGACTATACATATCCATTTTACCTAATGTGCAAAAGTGTGAATTTATTTATTTATAATTTTCAAAATTTACTATAACTTTCAGACTCACACACAAACCAAGAAGGGGTAAAAGGGACAAGCGACAATCTCAGTTTTAACAGAATAATCACATATGATAATCTGTATCTAAATTCAGCTCTAAGATACTATGATATCAACATTAAAAAGGTTTCTGGCTCAATTCTCCAAGGAAATCCGTGTCCATATTTACTTTGACAAGTGTATACTAGACTACTGTTGCATCATCCAGCAGCCAACAACAGAACAATGTAGAACGAATAGTTGTCTGTGCTCACTTCAAATGTGTTAAAAGAAGGCAATTTGGAGAAAATGTACAAATCAGGGCAATGAGTGATTAATAATTCAATGTTTTATCTCCAGATTTTTTAAATGGAAATGTAATTGCTTACTTATTTGCTCATTCCATATGCTGCAAATTTTCTTTAAATCTTATTAGAGTTTAGCTGAAAATATGTGAATAAATTTTTTAAGGTACAAGATTATACATAATAACAAGTCTAGTCCCCATGAAACCCATGTTACTACAAATATCGTCTTATGCATATTTTTTACAAATGTTTTATATATTTTAACAGCTGCAAAATATTCATCCCATGGAGACATCATCATCTCTTAACCCATCCCCTACTGATATTTAAATGTAAGTTGTTTCTATAACCACTTATTTAATGTAAGCGCTTATTTGTCACTCTATCCCGCTACATTCAAATCTGTGAGGGCACTATTCTATACCTAGCACATGACACATTCTCACGACACATAGTAGTTGCTTCATTAATATTTTTTGCATAAATGAAGTAACACAAACAAATCACTGACTACTTAGAGCTAGGAGGAAAAAGAAGTATGAAGTGGTAAAGGCAGGACAAAATAACAAAGCTCTGTCATATAACCAGCTAAAGTAATCAGTGAAGTGAAAATAGAGCATTTGTAAACTGAAATACAAGTAAATGGAAAATCCAATTGACACATCTTTTACAAACAGGTTTTGCATTAAGAGATGAGTATCTTTAAAGAAAGAAATGGATTGTTGTGGGGAATTTAGACACATTATTCTACGTTTACTTGGCTAAAGTGTACAATACTAATCCTGTTTATCAAGTTACTCTACTATTAAAATCTATCGGTTTTCTGAAAAAATTTTCTAGACTACAATGACATTTCTCTCAACAGTAACATTTAATTTTCTTCATGTACTCAAAAGAGCAAGAATCTTTGGTGAAAATATCTTATGGCACTGGATTTACAGCAGATTACTGAATTTTTGTTAGAGCATATGTATTAAGCAGACCTAATAAAATTAACGATTATTGTAAATCTCTTTTTCCAAATAAAGAAAGTAGTTAATGGCTTTATTAAGAAATGGAAAGACCTTGGTTATGTGCCAATTCACACTACTGTAAGTCTTTTAAATATAAGGTTCAAAGGTAGGGTAAATGATAATAACACTGCAATTACTAGTTTATGAAGTGAAGCAGAACACTTAGGACAAAATGTTGAAAACGGACTTGTAAACCTTGCATACCAAAGAGTATCTCTAGATGTCTGGCCCAGGAATGTATCCTGGAATCTAAGTATGGGCTTCCTGAAACAGAGCTGTAAGGCCTTTATATGACATAGGTCCAAACTAAAGCAGCTTGCCTATCATCCTGTACCAGCCATTCCCTAGCATGAGTAAGAATTTAAAATATTTCTAAAAATACTCATAACCAAACCAAGAAATAAATCAATTTTCAAAAAGGAACTTTTGCCTCCTTTCAAGCACTTCTTCAATTTTTAAGAAATGCTTTACAATAAAGATGAAGAAGAGGTGAACCACTGTTAGAAGTATAGGGAGATGGGGGGAAACATGGTAATGCTCAATGAGTTTTAGTTTTCTCCTCTTTCTTTTCAGAAAAATGATTATCTTATTTATATGCCTGATACTGATACCATATTCTGAAAATATTTTTTTTGTTTACTTTAAAGCTGATGACTGAGTCTGTGTTTGCTTATTTCTCATTTATAAGGTAGGAAACAAGGCTCAGGCAGAAATTAAATTTTATGTTCAGAGACTTATTAAAAAATGTTCTGGGCCAGGCGTGGTGACTCACACCTGTAATCCCAGCACTTTGGGAGGCCAAGGTGGGCAGATCACGAGGTCAGGAGATCGAGACCATCCTGGCTGACGTGGTGAAACCCCATCTTTACTAAAATACAAAAAATTAGCCAGGCGTGGTGGTGCATGCCTGTAGTCCCAGCTACTGAGGAGGGTGAGGCAGGGGAATCGCTTGAACCCCAGAGACAGAGGTTGCACTGAGCCAAGATTGTGCCACTGCACTCCAGCCTGGCAACAGACAGAGACTCGACCTCAGGGGAAAAAAAATATGTTCCAAGAACCATCAAAGTATTTGTAAATTTTTACTTAACTTCTAAATAAAATATATCTTCCAATAATATTTCAGCCTTTGGAATAGTAATTATACTACTATGAAAACACATTATTTTCCTCCATAATTCAGTAATTAAAATGAAGTTGAACTGGAGAAATGAGAAAAAGATCTCTATCAAAAAACACTCAAAGCTAAATTAGTAAATAGATGTATACATAGTAAATAGAGCCAAACCACATCACTATTATTTAACAGAATAAAAAAACTGTGGCCAGGCGCAGTGGCTCACGCCTGCAATCCTAGCACTTTGGGAGGCCGAGGCGGGTGGATCACAAGGTCAGGAGTTCGAGACCAGCCTGGCCAATATGGCGAAACCCCGTCTCTATTAAAAACACAAAACTTAGCTGGGGGTGGTGGCGTGCATCTGTAATCCCAGCTACTTGGGAGGCTGAGGCAGGAGAATCACTTGAACCTGGGTGGCAGAGGTTGCAGTGAGCTGAGATCACGCCACTACACTCCAGCCCGGGCAACAGAGCAAGACTCCCGTCTCGGAAAAAAAAAATTTTTTTTTAGTAAATACAGCCAAACTGTATGACTGTTACATAATAGAATAATAAAATTTTTGAGACAGGGTCTCTTTCCGTTGCCCACGCTGGTGCAAATACAGCTTACTGTGTAGCCTTGACTTCCTGGGCTCAAGCTGTCCTCTTACCTCAGCTTCCAGAGTAGCTGGGAACTACATGTGTACGCCACCATGCCCAGCTAATTGTATTTTTTATTTTCTGTAGAGACAAGGTCTCACTATGTAGCCCAGACTGGTTTCCAACTCCTGCGCTCAAGCAATCCTCTCGCCTCAGCCTCCCAAAGTGCTGGGATTACAGGCATGAGCCACCACGCCTGGCCAACAGCTTAAATTAAAACATATTAAGAACAAATTCACTGTGAGATGGCCTGAGTCACAAATACCTGGCTCAATGTTAAACTGATTTAGTTGTCCATATTAGTCAGTGCTACTAGAGCTACTGTCCTCAATGTTGTATAACAGATGTTTAGAGTTTCCAAGCCTCCAAAAAAAAATTCTGTTACACTATCATGGACTTTACTCCAAGACAAGCCATTCTGTGATATGCACCATTCTTCTTCTTTTATTTATGTTTTTTTTTTTTTTAGACAGAGTCTCGCTCTATCGCCCAGGCTGGAGTGCAGTGGTGCGATCTCGGCTCACTGCAAACTCCGCCTCCCGGGTTCACACCATTCTCCTGCCTCAGCCTCCCGAGTAGCTAGGACTACAGGTGCCCACCACCATGCCCGGCTAATTTTTTGTATTTTTAGTAGAGACGGGGTTTCACTAGCCAGGATGGTCTCGATCTCCTGACCTCGTGATCCACCCGCCTCGGCCTCCCAAAGTGCTGGGATTACAGGCGTGAGCCATCGCACCCGGCCTGATAGTGTGGATAAATCAGATTAATCCACCACCATCACTGAAAAGCTCATTCAAATCAGCGCCTTTTAAAATGCTGGTTAGCTGCATTATCCAGAAAAATAATATAGAGATTTAAACTATAGTTTTTACAGGAAGACAGACTTTAGTAAGAGTCTTACCGTGTGACTCTTAACTTTTCCTAGCTGTGTGACTCTGGGCAAGTTATTTAACCTTTCTAAGCTCTGTTTCCTTATCTGTACTATGAAAATAACAATAGTACCATAAAGACTTATTTTGAGGACTAAATGTTCCAAAACAGTAGGGGCTCAATAAATGTTACCTATCAAAATTATTTATTGTGTTCTATTGTGGAACAGCACAGATTACTGGTAAACAATTTTATGGTATAGCCCTCAAATTTTAAAAGGATTATAAGGAATATGATAACAGCTTCCTCTTACGAATTATGCTGCTGAGCTAACTAGGATGTCTACAGTCTAGAGAAAATTTAAGAAAATTCTACATATCACAGTAAGTGTTTAGATAGACCATGCTTGGAAAACTCAAAAGACTAGAATATAGCAAGTCCTATGAGAGAAAACAACCATGCATTTTAAACTATGATTTCATTTAAAAAAAAAAGTGTTATATCATCAAAGAATTCTGTAGTTGATATTCTTGAGGTTGGATATTTGTATATTTGGTTTCTTCTTATGCTACCCTAAAGGTATTGGTTGAAAATTATCTAAAAAATAAGTAACTCCCCTAACTATTCTGCAAATCCATACCATCATCTCCTTCAAAAACCTGAAGAATGAAAGAAAGATGGCTCTTAAAAACTTCAGTAACATTAAAATAGCTGATCATGTAAGAAAGGAAGACAGTCCTCCTACAGAACAATGGTTTGGATAACTGCTATAAATGAATTAACAATTTTGGAAAGAATACTATAAAATTATATGATAATATCAAGAGTTCTAAGTGAATATTGCTGCTGTCAAAGCAATGATTAATAAGTATGTTTAATCTTCAAACTATACACACTCACATCCAAATAAAAAGATGTAGTTTTTATTATAGCAAATCTATATTTAAAATCAAAACACATCAAAATTACAACTTTTCATTTTGCATATGTATGTGCATGTGTTCATCTCTGTGTATACTTTCTCTAACCCAGTTAAAATAATCATTCCAAAAGGGTAAAAAAACCCCACAGAGCCTGAAGAGGACAAAAATTAATCTTCAATTCTACTGCCAAAGGTTTTAGAATCCAGATTACCAGTTTGTCAGGTCATTCTACAAACTTCATTTCTACTGTTATTAGATAAATTTATATTTCCTAGCCCAGGTGATACTATTTATCCTGATACTTTCAAAAACAAAGGTAGTCATAGTAACTGTTTATCAGCCACAGCAGAATGTTTTAGGCTAGAAATAATATAAGAGGATGGTGTGGGCCGCGCGTGGTGGCTCACGCCTGTAATCCCAGCACTTTGGGAAGCTGAGGTGGGCAGATCACAAGGTCAGGAGATTGAGACCATCCTGGCTAACACGGTGAAACCCCGTCTCTACTAAAAATACAAAAAAATTAGCCAGGGGTGGTGGCGGGTGCCTGTAATACCAGCTACTCTGGAGGCTGAGGCAGGAGAACAGCATGAACCCGGGAGGCGGAGCTTGCAGTGAGCCGAGATCCCACCACTGCACTCCAGCCTGGGTGACAGAGAGAGACTCCGTCTCAAAAAAAAAAAAAAAAAAAAAAAAGAGAATGGTGTAGAAGATAAATCGTCAAGTTATTTGATAAAGAATATAAGGAATATATGTCAATTCTACTTAATTCGAAGTGAACTTTCTTCTCAAAATCAAGTAAGTGGTTTTAGTTCTAATCCAGACTGAGGTATATAACATGAGAGTGAGGAAACAAAATACTTTACTTTTAAGGAGGATGAAGTAAACCCTGGAAACAAATTTTCTTTATAATTTCACCTCAAATAAGAAATGCTAACATTTTTAGTTCATATTAAAATAGTCAAATAGACACAACAGGGTTCAAGAAAATATTTTTGAAATTATGCTAGTTAACGGCATTCTGATTATTACATCCTCTCATATTAACCATATCCAGACACTTTCAGGAGACTCAGGAATCAATAATTAATAAATACAGTAAATATAAGGTGCCAGATAAATGCCATTATCAAAGATTAAATATTCTAATGCATAAGATGAAACTTTAAGAATACACATTTGAAAGTGGTTTTGACAGCAACAGGAGGCAGAGGAGGCAGAGACACTCTAGGCAGACAGGGGCAAGTCACTGGCAAAATCCCAACTTCGAGTGGAAAAGTCTGAAATCGGTGGCCCAAAGTGAAAACTTCCATCCCTGTGTGCCCGCTCTCTCCCAATTGGTTGTTTCTCAATAATATCTTTTTACCAATCGAATGCTGCCTTTTCCAAAACTACCTATGGCCCGTCCCAACCCCCATTCTGTGCCTATAAAGACCCCAGACTCAGCCGGCAGAGGAGAGAAGTGGCTGGATATCAAAGAGAGAGGACTTAACTTCAGAGACACCGGCTGGATGAGGCAACTTGACTTCAGAAGAGAGAGGCAGAGAGGTGGCTTGACTTCAGGGGAGAGCAACCTGCCCTTCCCGCTCCCTTTCTCGCTCCCCTCTCCACTGAGAACTGCTTTCACGACTCAATAAAATTCTCTATATTCACCATCCTTCAGTTCATCTGCATGACCTCATTTCTCTTGGGCACCAGACAAGAATTTGGGATGTACCACATGCCGGTACCCAAAAAGTCTGTCATACTGGCCCTCTGCCCTCACTGGCAGAGGGCAGCCACCCAATGCAATGAGGCAAAGGACACACTGAGCTGATAACACACTGATGTCTGCAGACAATGGAGCTAAGACAGCATTGCAACATACCCCCTGGGGCCTTGGGGTCGTAGAAACCCCTACCTGGATGCTGCCACAGGGCCTGAAGGGAGTTTACTCCTGTCATCGCTGAAGCAGCTGGCAGTCCCTGCACTCACTCACTTGCATGCTCCCTCCTGCGAGGGGTGGAGCCAGGCAGACCAAAGTAAATAGTAAGTTTACCCAAGTAAACTGCCGGGCCCCTGGCCAGTTCCTGCAGTTGGGTTCCTGTACTCGTTTGCACACTCTCTCCCTCCCACAAGGGGTTAAGCGGGGCAGGCTGAGTAAACGAGGCACCCCTGTCATACACCCCACAAAGGGGTCAAGAAAATATCCTGCATCAGTTTTTCACTAATTATTTTCTGACTAGTTTTAATGCAGATTTACTAAAAGTCAAATCTGGCACTGTGAAATTTGTTAGAAAGCACATCTTAGGCCGGGAGCAGTGGCTCATGCCTGTAATCCCAGCACTTTGGGAGGCCAAGGTGGGCAGATCACCTGAGGTCAGGAGTTTGAGACCAGCCTGACCAACAGGGCAAAATCCCATCTCTACTAAAAATACAAAATTAGCCAGGTGTGGTGGTGCATGCCTGTAATCCCAGCACTTTGGGAGGCCAAGGCAGGTGGATCACCTGAGGTTGGGAGTTCAAGACCAGCTTGACCAACATGGAGAAACCCCATCTCTATTAAAAATACAAAATTAGCTGGGTGTGGAGGCGCATGCCTGTAATCCCAGCTACTCGGGAAGGCTGAGGCAGGAGAATCTCTTGAACCCAGGAGGCAGAGGTTGTGGTGAGCCGAGATAGTGCCATTGCACTCCAGCCTGGGCAAAAAGAACAAAACTCTGTCTCAAAAAAAAAAAGAAAAGAAAAGAAAAAAGAAGAGCGCACCTTAGAGAAGCTCATCATTTTACGGCTATTTTAATTTCTGTATTAATATCACATTCCCTTACATGGGTATTCTACAGACAATATTAATCTGTATCTATACACTATGAAACACAGAATCTATAATGTTCATGACAAATTTTGAACATTTCAAGAACAAAAGAAAATCTGGTTTGATTGCTATTGCAATTTTTCCTATTTCAAAATGAATGCAGTAGATTCCCCTCTTAACTTTAATATTCATTTAAGTTATATTATTCTTTATTACAACTATTAAACTACTCTTTATCACTTTAAGTAAAAGGCATACAAGTATTGACACATAAAGATTCAAAAAAGGAGTGAGGTGCAAGTGATTATGTTTTACAGTGATTCAAGGAAATAATTCAGAAAATAAGGTAAAATCAATAATCTAGGATTACACTGGAAATCCTATAGAATTATGTTGGGGATTATAAACATCATTAGAGCCTAGAAGGACTGACCAATTGCCTAAAGACTAGTATTATAGAAAGAAATTAAACTGGATACATTACATGATCTCAGAGGATGTGAAGAAAATGCAAAAGAAATTACCAGATTACCAAAACCATACCAATACCATGTATAGAACATGCCTTGGTCCAGCCCAGATGCTGACATATAGTGAGTGTCCAAGAAATGTCTATTGAATGAAAGATGCATTAAAGAATGACTCAAGATACTAGTTTCCCAACAAGTAGAAGAGAGGAGTATCTTCCACAAAAGACAGAAATACATGAGATGCATTGTTCCCAATGCTGACAACACATTCAGGTTCAAATAAAGTTTCAATAACTCAACAGACTGCAGATCAATAGGGATTATTTAAAGGGGAAAAGGAGATTGAATATGCATGAAAACTTCTAAGGATGTTCTAGAAGATAAACTGTCCTACTCAGAATGAAATATCTTTTAGTATCATTAGACAGAACTAGGCTATTTACTCAAAAGAATAAAATCCCTTAAATGTAAGCTTAGTATCAGGTCCTCTGGTAGAGTCTTCTTTTGCCTTCCACCAAAGGCTGAAGTTTGAACAGCTCCTTTAATATATCTATCTATCTAATACAGATAGATAGGAAGGTAGGTAGGTACGTAGGTAGCTAGCTAGCTAGCAAGCAGACCTCACCACTTAGGTATTCTCTGAGAGAACACAATTAATTCCTCTATAGGAAGCCACTTATGCTTGAATGAAGGAAAAAAAATAGATAATAGGTCAGTTCTCCCCCACCACTCAAATCTAGTCATTCTTTTGTCTAGAATTTAAATATACTTTATTTCAAGTCGCACTCAACCATTTTTTCATGAACTACTTTACACCAGAGGAACAATTATAACACAAAACCAAAGTGAAAGCTCTCATATATATCCAAAGGGATTTAGTGCCTGTTTTAAAAATGAAGCTGACAAAAAAACAATTGTATATACAGCTGCATATGCAAAGTCGCAGAAAAATCTTCATAATTAATCCCTCAGTTAATAAGAAACTTTCTGAAGAACTAGGTGAGATCTAGAAGCAATGTCCTTTTGTTTATTCCCAGTTTTTTTTAAGTATCTTGCAATAGAGTTTACATGTTTTTTAGTTACAACCAACTCATGCAAATTGTTACAGTATGTGACTTGCCTGTGGTGTTAATCACATAAGTAAAGTATGCTGTTACTAGATTATATATGACATACACCAAAAAAAAAAAAAAAGCCTGCTTCAATGCTTCAATAGTGCACATTTCTCTTGGTTTACATGCCACAATACTTTAAGAGAAAGGCAACAACTAATTTTCAGCTGAGATATTAAACATGGAGCTCCTTCATAAAGCATTCTAGCTTCAAACTATACTACCTGAGATTAAGACCCAAGATAAAGATCCTCCTCAGCTTCCCCTCATGTCACCAATGAAAAAAATGATTATCTGTTTGCAAAATCACAATCATAACTCTATCTTACCTCTAATAACTTACCTGCCTTTCATCCAACAGTATCAAGCTGCTTTGCCAATGCTAATTAAGCTACACAAAACCCCAGGGAGGTAAGTTACCAACTGAAGGTTAATCCTTTCAAAGAAAGACTTGGATTTTTCTTGTATATTATCTTGCTGCCTGGCTGATGTGTAACATACTTGTCAGAACAAGGGAGTTGAATTTCAAAGATATAATGTATCATAAGCTTTCAGAAGTAGAATCTCATGCCCCTTTCATGTTCTTAAATACTTCAGTCTAAACCTGAACAACTGCTTTTTGCCTTTTATTGAAAACAATGACAAGTGATAGGCCAAGAGAAACCCATATAGACCATTAATACCAACTCCAAAAGTAAATCCGAGTTTCTCCATATTAAAATGGAAAAATTTTAAACTAACTTCACATTCATTTAAATAACTTAAATGTATTCACACTATTCTTTGTGTGAAGGAGGAATTAACCTTTTGCACAAATACTTCTAGGCTTTGTTTCCAAAATGTCGACAAAGTAGTTTCTGTTTTCTTCCATTACTGTAGAAAAATGTATGTTTTATGTGTGTATGTGTATTTTTCAAATAAACTATAGGTAAAAGAACACAAACTGAAGGCCATAACATTTTGCCAAGTCAAAACCAGAAATGTTGTTTTTCCCCAACAATGAAATGACAAATGTCTAAAATTCCCAAAGTACAGAAATACCACCACCTATTTTCCCCATGGAGAATTTTATCCAGGGAGATGGAGTGCCAGAAGGTGAAAGAATACTACTATCCTTTGCCCTTAGACATGTATCACCTTGAAGTATGAAACCTATTTCCAACAAATACCAGGAGACTAGAAAAACAATCGTTTATGCAGGATTTCTCTGAGTTACTGAACCCTTAAGTTATGTGGTAGTGTTTTAGAACCCTTTATTTTCTATGGAGGTGAGAATTACCCTATATTGTGATTCTTACCTAATGTATTCCAGATACTAATCCACATTTAGGTAACAGATGAATGACACATTGGGTTCTACCAGGCTCCCATCTAGGCAATTAAACCTTTTTCATTATTATTATTCCCCCCCAGTTTGGTCAAGAGGAGAAACAGAGAGACATCTTAAGGGATTTTTCCAATGGTACCTATTCTTTGACTCCATGATGCAAAGACATAAAAACAATTCTGCAGGTTAAGTCAAGATGTTTGGATTTCAGCATAAACTCATCCCCTTCCATGTGAGTTTCTTTTTATACCATGTGATAAATGAACTGGATATGCTGGGTGAAAACATACTCATTGCAAAGTTTCTAATTCCAAAGACTGAGAACCAATCAATGCTTTTCCTGTTTCAAACGGTTATTAAAATACTCAATTTTCTGCCATGAACTCATGGTCATCAAATGATTCTTATTTTGTGCAAGGTTATGAAGAAAAAAAATGTTAACTTATAAGGACAAAATCAAGTAATCAGAGCTCTCAACAAAAAAAATGCTAGGAAATTACTCCAACAGATGGTGTTACCCATTGGTATGTCGTATCTTTCTGTTTCTTTCCCCTAAGATAGGGAGGATATCTTTGAAAGGAAGCAGAAGAAACTAATAGAAGATGTTACCTCTAGAAAGAGAAACTGAGGGGTTGGGTTTGTGGCAGAAATATCATGCCAATGTATACCCCTTTTGTACTCTTTGGATGGTTTACCATGTCTATGCATCATCTTTTAAAAAATGAAAATCTCTTGTTGTGTCAAAAATTTAATTAAAGTAAGTTTATTACTGTGAAGAGAAAGAAATGAGAAGAGAGGTCTTTAAACTGAGTGAGTGAAGTTGAACCAGTCTGAGTCAAAACATTTAAGACAAGCTGGGCATGGTGGCTCAGGCCTGTAATCCCAGCACTTTGGGAGGCCGAGGCGGGCAGATCACGAGGTCAGGAGATCGAGACCATCCTGGCTAACACGGTGAAACCCCGTCTCTACTAAAAATACAAAAAAGTTAGCCAGGCGTGGTGGCGGGCGCCTGTAGTCCCAGCTACTCGGGAGGCTGAGGCAGGAGAATGGTGTGAACCCGGGAGGCAGAGCTTGCAGTTAGCTGAAATTGCGCCACTGCACTCCAGCCTGGGCGACAGAGCGAGATTCCATCTCAAAAAAAAAAAAAAAAAAAAGATTTAAGGCAAGGCCCTTGACAAGCAAAGGGTGAATATCAAAGCAAAGGTCTGGGAAGTGCCATGGTGTTCTCTATAGAATTCTAAGTCTCTATGCCAAGTTCTTATTTTCAAGTTTACATAGGCCCATGATCCTTTATTTCTTCTATGTGAGTTTCATTAAATAATGCTATTGTAGATTTTGACATTTAAAAGAGAAGTTTCTACTGAAATCAGGATTCCTTTTCTAAATATTTCATCATAAATAAATCTACCTAGATTACATGTAAAAACAAAGAAGCAGTACCCATTGGTGGATTTTATAACACTCTTTTCCTGGCAAACACTTCTAAAAATGTCTGTCTTTTGTGTAACACTGAAGAAAAGAACAAAGTTGAAAAGGAGGGAGTAGGGGAAAGAGGAGGAAAGTAAAAGAGATTGAGAGCGACAAGAAAAAGGAGCGAAATAAAGGGGCTGAGAAAGAAAAGGAAAATGTGACATAGTAGTTCCCTCTTATTTGTGGGGATACTGTTCCAAGACCCCTAGTGGATGCCTGAATTGCAGATAGTACTAAATCCTATATACACTGTTTTCTCCTAGACATATATACTTATTATAACGTTTACTTTATAAATTAGGCACAGCTAAGAGATTAACAAGAATAATAATAAAATAGAACAATTATAACAAGATAATGTAATAAATGTTAGGTGAATGTGGTCTTTCTCTTGCATTCTCTCTCTCTCAAAATATCTTATTTTCAGACCACAGTTGACTGTGTATACTGAAACTGCAGAAAGCAAAACCATGGATAAAGGGGACCACAGTAATATGATCTCTGCAGGACTAAGAGTCACAACTCATTTTTAAAAAATTGCCAAGTACTTGTTACATGCCAAGTACTTAAGCACACAAACATGAAACAAACACAGCCACTATCCTCAAATATTTTACAATCTGGAAATGTCAGATTCATAATTTGTGGAAAAGTCAGACACAAATTACAAATTGCAGCACATGTAATAACAGCGATAATTTGGTATGAGAGTTTAGACCATAGCAAGAAGAGATAAATAATGCCTGGTATAATTAAGAACTTTAAAAGGATAGCCATAGTGAACCATGTCAAGGAAAAGTCTGTTGGGGGATGAAGGAAAAGACATTTCAAACAGAAGGAAGAGCATGTGCAAAGGAAAAGAAGTGTGAAAGAGCATGCCACATTCAGTAAAAATGAACTTATTTTATATGGCTAGAGCATAGGGTACAGGGGAGAACAGGAAATGAAGATGAAAAGGGAGGTTAAGGTGGAAGGAGGAGTAGTGGAAAATTAAGCTAGAACAGTAGGTAGTGTCAGTTTTCTTAAACTCTAAAATAATGTTTGTTTTAAAAGTAAATTCTGTAAATATTTGCTGGGGTAAAGGTTGGTGGCAGTGTTTTAAAAACAAATTTCTTCAGAACACAAGTGAATACATTAATTATCAGTAAAAATGGATGGCACTATTTACCAATTACCATCATCTATTAATTATATCAGATTCAGTGGGCTGTCAACTTGGAAACAGTAAAGATTTACTTTGGTTTACATGAACCTGAAAGCAATAAAGCTGTATTTATCATCAAATGTTACAGAATTCACATTTGTCATTAATTCAGACTGACTACCAACCACACAACTAATACATGGATGCATTTGCCTTTATAAAATCAGGCATGCATACATTCAAAGTAATTGTGCAACTCTAAGCCCCAGAAATATTCATATTTAGCAATATTTTAATAGTCCAAGTGGACTTTTAGATTCAGTGTCCTGAATCTCACAGATCCACTGTGTTGCCATCTTTATGCCTAAAAGTTACCTAGACAATATAATTTTATTCATAAAATATTAATAGCACAGGTACTATACAGACGTTTGTCTTGGTAAAATTTTTCAGCCTATACACACACATACTATTTGTTCTCTTTGTGACACACTGTGGCTACATATGGCACTGCTCTAGAAATATATTAATTCCTAAATATTATCACTTGTGTAACGCAGTAACAGATCAGTTACCAAAGATTCAAAAGACTTGGACTATTGGCCTGCTTATAAAATTAACTAAATATTTGACTTAAGTCATATCATTTCTGAACTTCACTTTTTCTCATCTGTGAGGATCATAACTATTTCCTGAATACATAAAAATTCTTTTGCAGTGAATAACGTTTTCCTAAATATACAAATATTTCCTATTTTTGTAAAAATTAGTTTTTTTTGTTTTTTTTTTTTTTGAGACAGAGTCTCGCTCTGTCGCCCAGGCTGGAGTGCAGTGGCACGATTTCAGCTCATTGCAAGCTCCGCCTCCCGGGTTCACACCATTCCCCTGCCTCAGCATCCCGAGTAGCTGGGACTACAGGCATCTGCCACCATGCCCGGCTGACTTTTTTGTATTTTTAATAGAGATGGGGTTTCACCGTGTTAGCCAGGATGGTCTCGATCTCCTGACCTCGTGATCCACCCGCCTCGGCCTCCCAAAGTGCTGGGATTACAGGCGTGAGCCACAGCGCCCAGCACATACTCTTTAAAAGAATTACAGAGATGAAAACGTGTAGGGGGGAAAACCCCTCAAATATGTCAAAATAGGTTAAAAAGCTTTTACAAAATTAGAGGAAATTATTTGTCCTTTTAAAATATAGTACATTTAATTTTACTTTTATTTGATAGAAGCACAAATTCAGTGAAAATGCATGAGTTCCTCAATTTCAAATGGATATTTTTAAAAAGATCTAAGGTTAAAAAACTGTCAAAAACATTAATATACTGGACTAATGTCTTTATATTTTAAATTTTAGATGTTATTAACAGAAACATGAAAATACTTCCAACTCCAAATTTTGTTGGCATGCTATTCTTCACGGTTAAACTTTATATCAAATACATTAGATTCCAAAATCATAACTTACATAAATGTCTAGCATTTCATATTAAATGATGTTACTGCCAATTTTATCAATTTATCTTTTAAATGGCTCAATACCCTAATTAAATGATATATTTTTCAAGAGAGACTGAGGGTATTTGGGAATGCCTGCCTATTGAATCTATACTTGGCTGGTGTCTTAGCTAAGAACTGCATTCCTAGATCACATTTTCTTTATTTCAGAAATGTAAAAAGATTGCTACATTCATCTCCAGCACTGACTGTTCCTAGGAAGAAATTTAGCAAGAGCCTGATTTCCCCCTCTTTGAAATGATATATTCTTCTTTCTGGATACCTGGAGAAATATCGGTTTTATCATTTAACCTAGATATGTCAAGCAATCAAAATTCACAGGACCCAAAATATCATTTTGACCTGAGGATGTGTTTCTCCTTTTCAGGGAAAGTGTCTTTATTATTTTGAATAATTTTTCTCTTCCATATTTTCTATTCTCTATGCAATTATTTTAATGCTAGATCTTTACTGGTTATCCATATCTATTTCCTTCTCTATGTTTTAATCTCTTGCTTGTCCATATTCTCTCTGATTATGTCAAGTCTTTCTTCAGTCTCAATATTTAATTTTTAGGAACTGTTTCCATCCCTTGCTATTTCTACTACTTTGCTTACTGTTTCAGTAATTATGTTACAAGGCACCATGCAGCAAGTTTCCTTCTGGGGCAAGGCAGCCTGACTTCCACATGCTGAGTTGTGTCAGCTTTGAGGAAATCAAACGCCAATATTTCCGAAGGAAACTACGCTAATTAGACATGCCCACCAATTTCCAATCTTCACTGTTGTTTAACAATTTATGAAAAAGCATTTATATTTACTTTTTTTATTCCTTGTCTAAAAGTATATTTTAAAACACAAGTAATCATAGTTGCATCAAAAGAACAAACAGCTTAAAATATCCATACTTTTAGAAGTACATGTTTATGTTACTTCCTGTCATTTCATATTATTTATATAGACAGAACTTTACACTGGCTATCATTTCAAATCAATCATTCCAGCTGGGTGCAGTGACTCACACCTGTAATCCCAAAACTCTGGGAGGCCACGTTGGGAGGACTGCTTGAGACTAGCACTTTGAGACCAGCCTGAGCAACATGGCAAGATCCTGCCTGTACAAAAAATTTAAAAATTAGCCAGCCATGGTGGCTCAATGCCTGTCCTCCAGCTGCTTGGGAGGCTGAGGTGGGAGGAGCACTTGAGCCCAGGAGGCTGCAGTGAGCCATGTCCATGCCACTGCATTCCAGCCTGGACAGCAGAGTGAAACCCTGCCTTTAAAGAAAACTTAATTTAAAAATTAAAATAAATAAATAATATAGAAATCAATCATTCTGTAGGTTAGAGAATTATAAAATGGGGAGGGGGCAAATGCAAACCCATGAAAGCGTGCAGGAGCAAACATCCTAACAGTTGAGTTGGGAGGCAAATGAAACAGATCTGTTTAAATAAATTAGTTTAATCAAGAAATGTATAAACAATTAGGAATATCTGTTAAAATAATTATAGGTTATATATATTTCCAAAATGCAATACGTACTATTGTCTTATTTTAAGAAATTGTCACAGCCAATATAGAATATAAATTAGATCTGTCTGACTACAAAGCCTGAATGAAGGACTACGTGAATGGATGAAGTCTTACAAACTGGATGCCAAATACAAACATACACAAACTAAGGAGTTAAGTACTGAAAGATGACAAAGAAGAACCTAAGGCAAAACAAACTAATTTTCACTTGATATTAAATTACAAGTAATATATGTGAAAGTACTTAGATCCTAACACAGAAGATGCATTAAAATATTAGAACTTGACTCTGAATCTACATGTCTTCAATCTCTTGAATTTCTCTACTTCCTTCTGTTACCACCTGATCTATTATATTTCTATCTTTATCCCATTTTTTATATCCCTAATAAGCAAACAGCAACAGTGATAGACAGTAATTCACTTTCTTTAATCTTTTAAATAAGGAGTTTCAAAGTTTGATGTTAAGAAGTAAACAGACTGGGCGCGGAGGCTCATGCTTGTAATCCCAGCCCTTTGGGAGGCCGAGGCGGGCAGATGACCTGAGGTCAGGAGTTCGAGACCAGCCTGGCCAACATGGCGAAACCCCGTCTCTACTAAAAATACAAAAAATTAGCTAGGTGTGGTGGTGGCCGCCTATAATCCCAGCTACTCAGGGGTCTGAGGCAGGAGAATCGCTTGAATCTGGGAGGCGGAGTTTGCAGTGAGCCAAGATCGCACCACTGCACTCCAGCTTGGGCGACAAGAGTGAAACTCTGTCTCAAAAAAAAAAAAAAAAGGCTGGGCGTGGTGGCTCCCACCTGTAATCTCAGCACTTTGGGAGGTGGAGGTAGAGGCGGGCGGATCACAAGGTCAGGAGATTGAGACCTTCCTAGCTGTTGAAACCCCATCTCTACTAAAAATACAAAAAATTAGCCAGGCGTGGTAGCACGCGCCTGTAGTCCCAGCTACTCGGGAAGCTGAGGCAGGAGAATGGTGTGAACCGGAGAGGCAGAGCTCGCAGTGAGCTGAGATTATACCCATGCACTTCAGCCTGGGTGAATGAGCGAGACTCCATCTCACAAAAAAAGTAAACAAAGACTCTTAGCTGGCTAATTCGGATATTTTAATGGAAATAAATTGCTGTCTTCCTAAATATTTGCCTATTCTACACAACAAAGATGAGATCCTTAATATCAAAATATAGGGTTGGGAAGAGCAAACAGCTTCACAGCTTCTATGCACTTTCTAATTAATCATTAAAATCACTAAAACCAAGTTACTATAGATGCTAAATTAATTGCATTTGACTCAGCATTCTTTTTTTTTTTTGCTTATTATTTTCAGCAATCTAAATAAATTAAATGTCGCTTATGTTGCCTAGAGCCCATAAGGTACTTATCAGAGTTTTACCAGATCTTCCTGTTGGTTATGAATGGCAGTGTACATTTTTTTATTTTATCACAGTGATAACTGTGATTGTGGCCTGACCTACAAAAAATATTATCTCTAATACCTTTCACAATGACATGAAAATGCAAAATTTCAGAGGAAACTACTATATAATATTGACAAGAATTCTATGGCTGGACAACAACAACAAAAAGTCAAATGTAATGAAACCCAAAAATTTGCCAGGCCTGATGGCATGTGCCTGTGGTCTCAGCTGGCTTGGGAGGCTGAACCAAGAGGATCACTTGAGCCCAGGTGGTTGAGGCTGCAGTGAGCATGCTAGTGATTACACCACTGCACTCAGCCTGGGTAACAGAGTGAGATCTTGTCTAAAAAGAAAAAAACAAAAGAAAAAGAAATAAAACCATGAAACCCAAAAGGTGTACTTTGATCAAAGTGGTAAAAGGCAGATCAATAAAATCTTTTTCTAAAAAAAGATGGCATCTAAAGATGTTAAGTTTTAATTATAAAATAATTAAATCTACAGAAGAAAATGTTTATGATTTATATAAAATACAGCCCTTAATTCCAATCCATTCATGCAGCATTCACTATGCCAGAGGTACTGGACTAAGTAATAAGTGGGATCAAAGATATAACAGGCATAGATCAGCATGTCTAAGATGACCGTTATCTCCTGAGAATACAAAGAATGATTTTTTAATCAGGTACAATGTTCCCCAAATCAACTGGGCTCATTCATTCATTCATTCATTCAATGAGCATTTAATTCACTTTATTAAAGACGCCAGATTCTAAACACTATGATACAAGGATGAATAAGATATAATCCATTCCATCAAAATACTCACTTAAGATTCAGCTAAAAGACAAATGCACTAAAAGTTATCAAACTGTGGAGAGTACAATGACAGGAGCAGGCCATGGCTGCTGGGTGAACATATAGAAAGGGCACCTAATTCAGATGAATGAGGTCAAGAAAGGATTCTCAGAAGAAGACACGCTTAGGTTGAATTTTAAAGAACCACCAACACTTACTAAAAATACTTAGGACAGCTGGGGATGGGGCTGAATCAGTAAAATAGTAAAATGTGTAAAGGCACAGACATGAAGCATAGTGGGTTGTTCAGCATAAAGGCTTAAGTTTAGGATGCAAATTAGAAAGTATTAAGAGTAAACATTAATGAGGTGAACAGAGATCACGAAACGCCAACATTATAAATTTGTCTAAAAATAATGAAGTAAATATATTCTTATATCAAAATATTTCAGAATAGTATAACACTTCCAGGAAAAAAAATATATAAATTTAAAATGGAAGAAATCATGTGTTCATCACAAATAGAATATGGATATACAACCATAACTGGATATTCATGACCTTATATATTATTTTAATTGGATGGAAGAAGAAAATGCTAGCTCAACTCATCATGTGACACTTATGCTCCTTTCACGCTATGTCTCTATGCTGCAGAGTATATTCAAGTACACTGCTCTATTTTCTATACCGCAAAGGCAAATTCAACACCATGACTTACAGTTATAGCAACAAGATTCTAATGGTCTCATCCAGATGTAACAGACAAAGTAGTTGTATCCTGCCAAGCCTAAGAAAATTAAAATCTGTCAAAATGTCAATGTGTATCTTTCTTAAACCACAATTTATATGTGAATATGCAAAAGTCCTCTTAGAAAACAGAAAAGTCATAAATATCTTCTTGCTAATTTGGCAATAGTGGCATCATTCGAGGAAGAAAATTATGGGTAGAACAAAAAAGGTAAAAATGGTTGACATCCATTAATAATAAAATATACAAACTCACGTATCATACATGGATAAACTATGAAAAAAAAAGATTCCAGTAGGTTTTAACTGGACACGACTGGAATGGATAAAGTAAATTATATTTAAAATTTACATGTGTCAGTTTATATCCTTTGACACAAACATGCATAGCAATATTCTATTTACATTCTTCTTTCAAGGCTCTTGCTGTGACTAAAAGCTCTGGCTGTATAAATGAGTTAAGTCTTACAAAAGCAGCAGTATCCTAAAATGAATAAATAGAAGGTGCTGAATAGTTTTTGAACTGAACCTCAGTCCCATCATAATGCATTATGTGCTATACTTAACAGGACACAAGATATAATAAATGTTTACTTCACGGGTAAATACCAGGTACCTGAGACTAACTGGTTATAATAAAATCCCAAAGATGACTCATTGTTAGTCTTCTTATTCTGTTATGAATTTTCTCTGTCGGTAATTTAAATATCAAAATGTTATTGTACTTTAGGACAGTGGTTCTCAAATTTTAGTGTGCATCAGATGCACATTGAGAGCTTGTTAAAATACAGACTACTGAGCCTCATCACCAGAGTTTATGACTCAGTAGGTCTGGGAATTAACACTTCAGGATTAATTAACTATTACATCATCAAACACCTACATCCCAAAGGCAGCAGCAATATCAAGCTGTTCAGTAAGCTTTATTTCCTATAAAAACCAGCAAGTTTATTGTAAGCTAAATGGACTCTAGAAATAGTATTTTGCTGGGTAAAATTAACTTATGTGAAATACCTAGAAATATTACAGAAGCACTACCAACTTTGAGAACAATATGTAAGTATTTAGTAAATCCAGTAGCCAATACTCTTTGGAATGATGCTCTAGGCTTAGATTCCAATCCACACTGTGTCTAGGGGCTGATTCAGATTATTATCTGATGCCTGAACAGAAGGATGATCAAATCCTGTTGTTGGAATAAGGTCACAACTTTCTCAAGATAATCTTTCATATAAGATATTGCAGGAACACCTAAAAAGACAGAGTATGAACTTCCCCATTTTGAGTCTTGTCTTCACTGTAACATATTAAATGTTAGCAGAATTATGGGGGAGGAAGCCTATATTTTTCACTGACCTCTAGTTATTGGAAGCTACCAATACCTATCAAAAACAATCAAATAATAATGAGTGATCAACCAACTTGCTGGTTTTCAACAAACTTCCATGTGTGTTTGTATGTGCGTGTCTGTGTATACATAGTGTGTTATATACACGCACACATAACATGTATTTTCTACAAGATAGAAAATACATATATATGTATTATATACAGTATTATATACACATATATATATATTTAGTCATGCACCACATAACAATGGACCGCATATATAACAGTAGGCCCACAAGATTATATTTTTACTGTACCTTTTCTATGTTTAGATATGTTTACACAAATACTTAACCATCATGTTACAACTGCCTACAGTATTCAGTACAGCAACATGCTGTACAAGTTTGTAGCCTAGGAGCAATAGCCTATATCATATACCCTAGGTATGTAGTACACACTAGCCTACTACACTCTATGATGTAAGTATACTCTATGATGTTCATACAGCCACAAAAATCACCTAATGACGTATTTCTCAGAATGTAATCCCGCCCTTAAGCAATGCATGACTATATATATATATATATATAAAATATAGCACTATCAGTATTTTGAAGAGATGCACTTCCCATAGTGCAGGGAAGCCAAAGGTGTATTTATTATTGAGATACCTTGAAATGACTTTTGCTTTCTTCTCAAGGATCAGAATAGGGTATTACTGACACAGGTTTGGTTTAAGAACTAATAGATCCTAGAAGCTTGTACACATTCCTTTAAATGGAAGTGCATAAATTGTGCATATTCTTGTAGAAAGGTGACATCAGCTCCAGGTATAAAAGGATTACGGCATAGCAAGAAATCAGCTTAGATCTGGCAAGATGTTACCTTGTGTGGACAACTGCACAGGCAGTTTATGACCCCACTGGGGACTCTAAAGGACCACAGGAAGCTATTTTTAGATATACTATATCTATTTCTACTCCATATGGCATTACCATGTCCAATAAGCTTTTGTATTACTGATCAAATAAACTGGGGACTTAATTTTAACTTACAGTATGTGGTTTCTTCCCAGAGACCCATGACCCACATGAAATACAGCAATTACCTAATCTAGCAAACTTGTGTTTAATGTGCCATTTCTACTTATTTATAAGACACTAACCTATCATTATGGTTAATCTCAATAAATATTAAACAAGGTCTCTATATGCTTATACAGATATATCCATATAACAAAGATGTAATGATTCAAGTGGCCATTTTCAATACTGTTACATGGGGATCTCTGATCACACAAAACAAATGCCAAAAGTAACTGTAATATAAAATTGGATATTCTGTCATTATCTATAGGCTAATAAACCATACTGTCCTGAATTAATTCTAAAAGGAAGGGAAACTTAAAAGTATAAAAGAGGACAGTGTTGGCAGTACACTGAAAATCAGATACAACTTCATAATTCTTTGGAAGATTTTTATTTCTTCTTCTGCCACTGACCTGCAGAAAAATAAGTCTCTTAGCTTCTGCACATAACAAATGGTAAAATAGATAATATTTCTGAAGTGCTATTAAGTAAAACTGAGAATTAACATTAAATTACACTTTTGAAAGTCCCTTTTGTCTTTATTTGCAGATATAGCATTCCATATTCATTAAATGTACCTCAGTTTTTCACCAACCTTATTACAATCTCTTAAGCATTTCTGATGTAAAATACCCCCGCCAAGCAACAGCTTTTGCATACATTTTTTTAAAAAAGAACAGAAAGACTATGTTAAAATCAAATTCATTCTATTTGAACAAGCAACAATAACAAGAAAAGCATAGTGTGCTATTTTACATTATATTTCCTTGTAGCCATTGTAATTCACAGGCTAGCTCTAATACATATATTGAAATCTATTTATATTTGTTCTCCTTCAGACAGCTTTGCCTAGAATACTGATCTCCAAACTAAACAACCATTTTATTTCATTATGTTATCTAAATCAGGGGTGTCCAATCTTTTGGCTTCCCTGGGCCACATTAGAAGAAGAAGAATTGTCTTGGGCCACACATAAAATACACTAACAATAGCTGATAAGCTTAAAAAACAAATCGCAACAAAATCTCATAACGTTTTAAGAAAGTTTACGAATTTGTGTTGGGCTGCATTCAAAGCTGTCCTGGGCCACATGCGAGTTGGACAAGCTTGAGCTAAATGAATTAAAAGACGTCAATATAACAATTTCAAAAACAAAATAAATCTTCATACTGAAATACAAATTTGCCTGAAAGAAACGTAAGAAATAGCCCAGGGTATTTTTTTCTAAAGACTTTGTAGCAGATGTGTCATCTATAAATCAAGTGATACTGAAATCAATATGCCACAATGACTGTATTTCCTGCTATTATTTATCTTCAATTATCAAGAAGTTATTGAAGTCATCATCAGCTCAGTATAGTCGGGTAAAAGAATAAAATATAAAGAATGTTTAATCAAGTCCCTCAGCTCAACTATTCATACATTATATTAAATAAAATATTTAATGAAAATTTACTTTGCCTATGTAGCATTTATATACGGGAGAAAAAAATTCAAATACAAAGTTTAAATTTTTACAATTTAGTTATTTAAGATGTTTTTTCATGTGACACCTTTCTCCAAGAATGGTGTGTTCTTCCCTAGAGGTCTGGGTAGTGATAATGAATAATTAAAATTTCTATATTCTAAATAAAGCTCAGGGTGGGCAATTATAATTCCCATATTTAGAAGCATCAGTTTTAAAAATCATATTGTCCAGTTATGAGAGAAGAATTATGAGAAATAAAGCCCATTCTATGCTTCTATTTAACCTAGTATATATTTAACTATTCTGTTTCAATAAATACATTTATTGAATGTGATCACCTACCCCAATCTACTTTTCCTACAATTGTAGATCCTAGACCCAAAGAGGTTAAGTGATTTATCTCAGGGTGAGCAATCATTCTGAAGAATGTGCAAGTTTTCCAAATTATCTCATCCATTGTGTTAATTATTTTACATTAGAAAAAATGAAAACATATTCTGAGTTCTATAAAACTATGTAAAATCATGCATTTTGGATTATCAGCTACCATTAGCAGCTAAAAATCTGTTTATTGAGGACCTACTAATACACAAAAATCTTCTATTTTTTTAATCTCATTTTAAACTTATTGCAAAATAGATATTATTGCCATTTTTAAAGTGAAGAAACTGAAGATCAAAAAGCCCCCTTACACGACTTTTTTAAGATCACTAAGTTAGTAAGTGGTCGACTTGGGATCCAAATCCAAATCTGAGAAGCCCAGGCCTTTCATTTCACTAGATTGTTCCTTTCTAAGCATAACCGATCAGATCTCCTCCACCTAAGAGCCACTTCAGCACTAAATACAAGGTGCCTCTTAGGAGGCAGAGACACAAACACATTAGAATAACTGAACATATAATAAAAGCAAGAAGAAATAAGAGGTAAAATGTAAGCTTATAAAGATTTATAGTAAGACCAGGCGCAATGGCTCATATCTGTAATCCCAGCACTTTGGAAGGCTGAGGCAGGAGGACTGCTAGAGCCCAGGAGTTCGAGACCACCCTGGGCAACATAGGGAGACCCCATCTCTACAAAAAAAAAATTTAATTAGCTGGGCATAGGCCAGGCGTGGTGGCTCATGCCTGTAATCCCAGCACTTTGGGAGGCCTAGGTGGGCAGATCACGAGGTCAGGAGATAACACGGTAAAAACCCCATCTCTATGAAAAGTACAAAAATTAGCTGGGCATGGCGACGCGTGCCTATAATCCCAGCTACTCAGGAGGCAGAGGAAGGAGAATCGCTTGAACCTGGGAGGTGGAGGTTGCAGTGAGCTGAGATCGCGCCATTACACTCCATCCTGGCGACAAAAGCTAGACTCTGTCTCAAAAAAAAAAAAAAAAAAAAAAAAAAAAAAAAAAAAAAAAAGCAAGCTGGGCATCATGGCACACACCTGTGTTCCCAGCTACTTGGGAGGCTGAAGTAGGAGGATCGCTTGAGCCCAGCAGATCGAAGCTGCAGTGAGCCATGATTGCACCACTACACTCCAGCCTTGGAGACAGAGCAAGACCCTGTCTTGGGAAAAAAAAACAAAAACGGAAACAAGTACAAAAGATGTACAGTAAAACAAGAGCCTAAGAATAATATTACTATTTGGACCTTTATTTCAGAGCATGTCTATATCAACATGTAACATGCCTAACAATTCAGAGACTACAAAAGACAAGACTTAATAATGAAAATAATGAAACCATCCTGGTTCACACAAACCTTGTTAGTCAACTTTTTCTATAAAGGGTCAGAGAGTAAACTATGTAGGTTTTGTGGCTACAAATGGCCTCTTACATGTTCTGCTTTGAATTTGTTTTTGATCCAACCATTTAAAAATGTAAAACCATTCTTAGCCTGGAAGCCATTGAAAAAGAAACAAACAAACAAACAAAAAACAGAGAAAGGTAGACTTGTCCCACGGCCATAGTTTGTCAACCCCTGTTAAAGCTAAGCAAACCAAAAAAAGCAGACAACTATTCACAGCAAGTGAGCTATTATAAGGATTTGTAGTGAGGAGAAAGTCAAATTTAATTTACATTTGAATAGTTGTGATTATTTATATAAAAGCTATACTTACTTGCGGCCAACTGTTGACTAATTCCATTTGTATTTTTATCTATATTTTGAAAACTGAATTATAAAGTATTCATCAAAAATATCTGCTTCTGGCTCACACTTGTAATCTTAGCACTTGGGGAGGCCAAGGCGGGCAGATCAATTGAAGCCAGGAGTTCGAGATCAGCCTGGCCAACATGGCAAAAACCCGTCTTTACTAAAAATACAAAAATTAGCCAGGCCACAGCAACGCGCACCTGTAATTCCAGCTACTCGGGAGGCCGAGGTGGGAGATTTGCTTGAACCCGGGAGGTGGAGGTTGCAGTAAGCAGAGAATGTGCCGCTGCACTCCAGTCTGGGGGACAGAGCAAGAGTGTGGGGGAAAAAAAAAAAGAGGAAGGAAGGAAGGAAGGAAGGAAGGAAGGAAGGAAGGAAGAAGGAAGGAAGGAAAGAAGGGAGGGAGGAAGGGAGGTTGGTTCTAAGTGAACAGAGGTAACCAACTTGTCATTAAATGAGCAAAAGGTCAGACTATCCAAAAAGTATCCTATTTGGATATCCTATCAAAATGGGATTTTCTGTACTCACAGCTATGAAATTAATGCCCATGTATGAAAGATTACATATGTACTGTATACATATAATTACAGGAAAAAGTCACACATAAATGAAATTAAAGGCAAGTTCAAAATAATCCCTGAGTACAATAATTTAAAGTCTTGCCATATGTAATCACTCTAAATTGGAAGAAGAGAGAAAGAAAAGGAAGGAAGAAAGGAGGGAGAGAGAGGAAAGGAACTTCACAACGAAGGTAAATGATTTTTAAGTAATGGTAAATTTCTTTACTACTTGCAAATTTATACCCTTGGACACAGCCGTCCAGAGGCACTCCTAGACTATTATAAGAAATAAAATAAAATAAATTAATAAATAAAATAATAAAATAAAATAAAATACAGGAATGAAGAGGAAAAAGAATTCGCTTTATACGAATTAGAAAACATTTCATAGAAAAGAATACTGGCCTTTGGAATCCAGTAACCAAAGCCATCATCCACAAAAAGAGTATACAATATTAATCCTGCAACATCAACGAAATAAATGAAGTATCTGTTCAGCAACCCTGCCTTCAAGCCATGCTTATGGTTCCTCCTCAGAGGATATGTTTCACAGAATCTGCTCATTATTTGCCCCTTTAATCTTTGTACTAGGAACCAAGGGAAGCAAGACATTGCGCCACAAACAATGAAGTTCACTGTGATTGAAATGTTTAGTCTGAAATCATGTGGTAACAATTAATAACCAGATTAGCATTCTTATTGCTGTAAAAATGCTACCCACCTCAATTCTAGAACATTTTAAAACAGACAAGAAGCACCATTTAAAGCTTTTCATGTTTAATTAAAAATATATTATTCTATAATACCTAGAGTCAGACTCTTTGAGCTCTTGCTGGTTTTAGCACTTACTATGTGGTGTGAGGCAAATCACTTAACTTCTGAATAAGATAATTTATGTAAAGTGTTGGTACACAATGAAAACTTTGATGTTATTATCGAGCACAATAAAACATGTTAAAAACACATGATCCCTGCTGTGGTGGTTGACTGTAGGATGCCCCCACTGATTTTTATCTTCTGGTGGTCAAGACCTTGGAAAATCGCCTCCCCAAGTGTAAATGGGACCTGTGATTTGCTCTAATCAATAGAATATTGCAAAGATGATGGAATGTATCTTCCATGACTGTGTTTAAAAAGACTGAAACTTTATCTTGCTAGCAGATTCTCTTCCTTGCTGGTTTTGATGAAGCAAGCTATGGTGTGAGCTGCCCTCTGGAGAGGTCCACTTGGAAAGGAACTGAGGGCAGCCTCTGGCAGACAGCAAGAAACTGAGGCCCTTAGTCCAAACAATATCAAGGAAGTGAATTCTGCCAACAACCACATGATTTTAGAACTGTATCCTTCTTTAATTGAGCCTTGAAATAAACTGCAGACCCAGTCAACACCTTTTGTACCTTTGTGAGGGACCCCAAAGCAGAGACACCACCTAAACTGTGCAAGAACTCCTAATCCACAGAAACTGTGTGATAGTAAGTTTGTGTTGTTTTACAGCACTAGGTTGGTAATTTGTTGAACAGCAAAAGATAACTAAATACCATTTAACAGACAAGATATAAACAATCAGATGCATTTTATTCTCTAATAGTTCTAATGAACCTAAAATAAATAATTAAAAGAATAAATGAATGAATCACTAAACCTGACGCCCTATTTTTTTTTTTTTTTTAGACATGGGGGTCTCACTGTGTTGCCCAGGCTGGAGTACAGTGGCTATTCACAGGCACGATCATTGGGTACAATAGCCTGGAACTCCTGGACTCAAGTGATCCTCTTGCCTCAGCTTTCCTAGCAGCTAGGACTACAGGCTTGTGCCACTGCATCCAACGTGGACCCCCTTTTGTATGCCACAATCTATCCAGTGCCTTTCGCTAAGCTTTGCAATTTCCCTCCTATTTGTAATATTAATGGTTTATACTTTTTGATTTATAAAAAATTTTACTTTCTCTTCAAAATCATATAGCTATCACCAGAAGTCTTGCACATGTATTATTTTCCAAATATTGAAAGTTACCTTACTCTAATTTTCTTTTCTTGGTGGTGATTTTGGTATTATATATGAATATATTAATATGAATGAGGAAAGTGATTATGACTCCTAATGAGAAAGCATGATCTTACCTTACATTCCACATAACCAGTTTCTACTGAACCATCTGAACCATCTTTGTTGTGGGTGGGGAGCAGGCAAAGCTTGAAATGAACGGGAAAAGAAATGTTTCTCTACATGATAGACTTCTAGCTGATACTATAAATAAGAATAAATTTCTACAGCTCTATCCCTCCCCACTGAGCCAACTCCAAATACACAGACTTCCCTATTCATTATGACAAGACAGCCTTTTACAAGAAACTCCCCAATCCAAATATCAGAGTCCATCAGGACAGACAGGTTTTCAATGGTAAATGTGTATTCTGCTATTGTTGAAAACAGTATTCTGTAAATGTCAATTAGGTCAAGCTGATTGAAGAAAATGCTATTCACATCAGCTATATCTTTACTGATTTTCTGCCTGCTTAATCTTTCAATTACTGTAAGAGAGGTGCTGAAGTCTCTAGCTATAATAGTGAATTTATCTATTTCTCCTGTCTCACATATTTTGCCTCAGGTATTTCACACTTTGTTGTTATGTGCATACATGTTAAGGACTGTTATGTCCTCATTACTCCTTTATCACTACAGAATGACCCATCTTTATCGCTGATAATTTTCCTTGCTAAGTCTGCTTAATGATAAATGGGGAAGAAAGGAATCTGGTAGAAAGAGAATGTACATTATAGTCTATGGTCTAGTCTACTGGACCCATATACAAAACACGCAAAGGGTGTTAGGCAAAAAAGGATTGTTGCACATTTTCTGTGGAAAAAGCAGTGACTTTTAGAGCCACCATACCAACGTGATTAAGAATGTGGAATATGAAGCAAGATGAACTCCACATTCATCACTCACAGTTGTATACATTTCAGCAAGCTATTTAACTGTACTTCTCTGTCTACATCTACAAAATGGGGATAATGTGAGTACTTACTCACAGGGCTGCTATAGGGATTAAATGAGTTCATACATACACAAAGCTTAGAATGTGACCTGATACATAGTAACACATATTAACAGCTGTTGTTTTTGTTGTCTTGCTGTTCCTGCTTGCTGCTAATGTTACTGTTAGGACAATCGAGATGCTAAGAGTAAAAGCACAAGCTAACAGCTCTTCTTGCATTGTTTCCCACTGCAATCCAACATCTAGTTGATAGGGTGCCACATGAGACCTTGAGAAAAGTGTCATAAAATTATGATTATGAGCTGCAACTCTCCTATGAATAGGATTATAAGCCATTCACTGTGCCTATACACTGGTAGGCCTAGATTTACAAAAAACTTGTAAGACTATGGGCAAAGTGGATTGTTAAATCTTGAATCCAAATTCACTAAGAGTCTGCTATTTTATAAAGACTATTTTACCTTTTATCTTCTGTGTAAACCTAGATTTTCATATATTGAGTTTAAGTGGGGTTATACTTTTCAGTACACAAGAAAAAACAGGTAACAATGCTATAACACAGTGTTCTAAATAGAACAACTGATATAATACTTTTGTTGCCTGAAAACCCCTTCCTTGGCATTGTTCCATGTAAACTTTACTTCCATGTAAATATATATATATATTCAAGTCTTGGGTGTGAAGAATATTAAGACAATATAACAAATGATGATGAAAGTAGCATTATATTCTAAATGTGCTTTTATTCTACCAAGGTTCTGTCCCTAATAAAACCTAGTAATGGCAATAGTATGTAAAAATACATATGATGCTATGCTTCTCTACACATAACCAATTGCTGTATTCATAGAACAGGTGTAGTGGTTGAAAAATGAATTTTCCTACCACGTGAGATTCTTGCAGGCCCTGTATGTAAGAGTATGTTGATGCTGTTCCCACACTTCCTTCTCTGCAAGTCCACAGTGTTTAGGGAAACTATGGATCATCTGAAGTGCATGGAGAAATTTTTACTTTGTGCCACACATTTTCTGGCAATCACTGCTATGTGCATGATTCCCAAAGTCATATTTCTCTCTCACCTGGGCTTTTTTCCTGAGTTCTAGACTCACTTTCCAACTTTCTTTTGGATAGGTTCAGCAAGCACATCAAGTTCAACCTACCTAAATCCCATCCTGGTCTTTCTCCTAACAGGTTCATTATATCAGTCATTGAAAAAGATTACTGACAGTTACTGTTAAAATAAAAACTTCAGCCAAATTAAATTTAAAGGAGTTTAATTGAGCAATGAACGATTCACGAATCCAGCAGCACCCAGAATCACAGCAGATTCAGAAAGACTCCAGTGCAGCCACATGGTGGAAGAAGATTTATAGACAAAAAAGGGGGAGTGATATACAGAAATCAGAAGTGAGGTACAGAAACAACTAGATTGGTTACAGCTCAGCATTTGCCTTATTTGAACACAGTCTGAATGCTCAGCAGTGTGTGAATGGTTGAAATATGGCTGCTGGGATTGGGCAAGACTCAGCTATTGTTACAGGCGCATACTCCTAAGTCAGGTTTTCGATCTTGTCTACCTATTAAGTTAGGTTACAGTTCGTCCACTAGGACTCAAATATAGAGTACAAAGTCCTTCTCAGACCATATTTAATTCACTTTAACACGACAAACTTTGAATCCACTTAAACTCTTCCTTTCCTTTACCACACAATTAAGGTATACAATAGAAGGTTAAAAGGGAATCAAAGGAAAGCCTGAAGAACCAGGTCATTAAAAGAGCAAGAACCAAGAAGTCTCCAGAGATCTAGGCACAGGAACTAATGGAAATCGTGTATGTCAGCAACACTGGGATAAATGAACTCCACTTTTAATACAGGTAGAGTATATGTAGGAGTATATGTAGTTATAAGTAGAATACAGTATAACATGGCAAACCCTATTCTCATTCTCACTGTAATAATGACAATAAGCACTCCCCACCACTCCCAGAAAAAAAAAAACTTGCAAATATAATCCTTTTAAAGGCATTAGAGAGCTGTGGAAGTGAGGGATTAAATTAACTAAAATTCCAGAGCAGGCTGAACTAGCTATGTTCTTACTTGGGAAGCATTTGCTGATTCTGGGTAGGGATCACACAGAAGAGTGGTGTGAAAATTTGGAAACTGCAAGAGCAGTAAACACATAGCCAGTTTTCTCCATGATTGATTTGCTGGATTCTATGGCTCCAAGGCTAGACAGTAATTTTAAGACAGAATGAAATTTCTCATAGTCTTACGAAATTTACAGGATGAAGTCCTGCTTGAGGTCTACCTTAAACTCACAGCTAGTCTTCTCTTCAATGTATGTCAAATTTAGATGCTACATGGAGCAAGAGACCAAAGAGCAAAGCTCAAAACCTCTGAAGGGCAGAAGAAATGTCCTATACTTCAAATCTGAAGAGAAATCTACCAAATTGTCAATAAAAAGCCTAGAAGAATTATACCTGAGGAACAAGGAAGAAACAAAGTGGGCTAGGTTTTACTAAAACTAAAACACAGCCATGTTCAATCACTGATTGTACTGGATTGAAATATTAAGCCCAATCTCCAACAGAGAAAAGCCTCTGTAGCCTCCACAGTGCCTTTATACACAATATATTAAATTTAAAATCACTAGACATGCAAAGAGGCAGAAAATTTGACTAACAATCAAAATAAATATCAAAAGAAATCAACCAAAAGGTGATCCATGAAATAGAAATTAGGAGAAAATATAATAGTTATATTAGAATAACTATTTAAGAAATTAAAAGAAACATGGACAAGACAGATGAAAAATGGAGAATTTCCAAAGAAATTTGAAATTATCAAAAAGAATCAAGTGAGTATTCTAGAATCAAAAAATATAAAAAATTACTAACTGTGTGTGATTAACGGCACAATGAACAAAACAGAAGACAGGTGAAATAAGTTGGAAGCCAGTTCAATAGAAAATAATACAAAATAAAGTGCAAAGAGAAATTAGATCATGAAAGACACATAAAGCCATGTGAGATACCATAAAAATAAGTTTAATAATACATATAATTGGAATTCCATAAGGAAAAAAATAAAAAATAATGGCTTCAGAAGCAGTATTTGAAGAAATAGTAGCTGAGGGTTTTCCAAAATTGATAAAATACATCAACTCCCAGATTTAAGCAGCTCAGTGAACTTCAAGCTGAATAAAAACAAATAAAGCCATATCTAGGCACTCATAGTCAAGTGCTTAACACCAAAGACAAAAAAAAAAGTAAACTCAGCCAAAGAGAAAGATACGCTTCTTAAAATTGCAGACTTCTCAGAGACTATGAAAGGCAGGAATCAATGAAATGACATGTTTTAAATGCTTTTAAAAATTACTGCTAAAGTAAATTCTACACTCAATAGAAATATCTAACAAAATGAAAGATAAAGTTTTTAAAAAAGAGAATCTGAATTTATTGCTATCAAACCTGCACTATAAATACTATAGGATATTATTAAGGCTGAAGAACATGATTCAACATGAAAGAACTGAATAACAGGAAGGAGTAAAGAACACTAGAAAGAAAAAATATGTGGCCAATTATAAAAGAATATGAGTGTTTATAAAAATTAATAAATCTGAATAACTTAATTAACCAACCTAACTTAAATGACATATATACTAGATCAGACTCAGCAACAGAATACACATTTCTTAAGCATTCAACAACATAAGTCATTTGCTAAGCCATTAAATAAATTTCAAAGAACTGAAATATAGAATATAATTCTATCTGGTTGAAGAACAAACTAGAAATCAAAATCTGAAAGATAAACAGAATAGCCCAATTTGGAAATTAAGTAACAACTACTAAATAACCTATGGGTCATAGAAAAAAAAAATCACAATACAAATTTTAAAGTATTTTAAATTAATGACAAAAATAGAATATCAAAACTTATGGAATACAACTGAAAGCTGTGCTTAGAGAGAAATTTAAGGCTTTCCAGGACATAAAAGAAAATAAAATAGAAAACAGATATACAATAAAGAAAAAAAAAGCACAGAGGTTGGTTCTTTGAAAAAGCAAATTAAATTGATAAACTGTTAGCAAGATAAAAGGAGAAAACACAACCAATATTAAGAATGAAAAAGGAGACATTACTATAGATATACAAGTATGGAGAAGAAAATAAAATGGCACTAAGAACAATTTTAAGCTAGAACATTTGAACATGCTGATAAAATGAACACATGCTTTGAAAAACACGTCTCACCAAAATTGACATGAGAAAAAAAAAGAGCTGAACAGTCCAATTTATATTAAAGAGATGAAATCCAGAATCTAAAATCTTCCCATATGTTCTCCTTCCTCGCCACCACCCTTCCCCACAAAAAGACTCCAGGCCCAGATAACTTCACTGGTAGAATTATAATATTTAAAAGAAAATGAATATCAACTTTACATAAACTTTTCCAGAGAACAGAATTGGCCTGCATAAACCTTGATAACCTGAAAGACATCACAAGAAGGAAAAATCATAAATAAACAGCTCATTTATATAGAAAAAATCCAAAACAAAATGTTAGCAAATTTAATCCAGTAAAATGTTAAAAAGTTACAAGAAATTCCAGGGAGAGAATATCTGCTTAATCAGGCCTATCAGGATAGGAATGTTGTTCCCACTGTAATGTTCTCAGGGAAGGAGTATCTTTCATTATATCTTAAAAATAAGATATTCTTGATAACATGAGGAATAATGGATACAAGATTGAAAAAGCAAAAGGCAGATATCATGAAAGGTTATAATTAGATGGCAGGTGCTGTACACATTCCAATCTATCTCACTGGCTTTAAGAATATATGTACACTTCTTATATGAGAGACTAGGAGTTATAGAGAAGACGGTCTAGAGCAAAATCTTCCAACCAACCAACTAGAACAAAGGCAACCCACTTTTTAACACAATCTTCTCAAACAACAGTAAAACATGACCTGTGAAGAACCACTTCAGTTTCCTTTCTACCCAACTCAGTATACTTCTGTTGCCTGGGACAAATTTTTCCACCAGAAGATTTGTGCTTTGTCTGTAACCCGTATTGGCAGATGACACACAGCTCAGAAAAACAGGTAATCGGAAATTAATCATACATTCTTTGTGGTTTTTAAATTTACAGTTTTACAGCTAGCATCTAAATTCTAGAAGAAATCTCTTCTCCTTTCCTAGACCAAACAAATAAACAAAAAAACTATTAATCGGCCAAAAGGCCAAAAGCCACATTTGAATTTTTTTAAGTTCTGTTCTCAAAAATAAATGTCCCTAGAATAACAAGGATTAGGTTAAAAGGAAAGTTGTCAATTAAGCACTTTTTAGATTTTACAACTCCATGAGATTGACATCCAACCAGGTTGAGGTTCACTGCTCAAGGGGATTTCTGCACAAACCAACAATTTTCTGGGTGTTTTCTGGTAAATTTCAACTCTAGGAAGCAACATGGCTGGTTCAAGTCCCAAGGAGCAAAAATTCTGTGAGCAAATAGCTATTTCACATTATTAAACTTGAAACAAAACGAACATGAAGCATAAAAGGACTGAGAAAGTGATAATTTCTAAATTTTTTAAAGGCCCACTACATGTGTTCTAACATGATACCAATGAACAAGAAAGAAAGAGATGTCTGGGAAACTCTAAATACAGGCATGTTGAAAACCTAAGCATCAAAGTCAACTGATTCAATCATTAATTTCAGTGTAAGTTGCATTACCTCTTATCTAGATTAATACTTTAAGAGTTTCCCAAGAAATATCTTAACTCCAATCTGGCACATGCACCAAATCCACCTGAAAATCTAAATCTTCCTCAACCATTTTCACTGTGTCATTCCTCTGCTGAAAACCAACTATTGTTCTCTATTATCTATCAATCGGGTCTATACATAACTCTGGCTATATAAGCCCACCATGATTTGACCTAATCCAATCTATTCAACTTCCCTTCTGTGGTGAGAACGGTAGGTTAAATGCGGTTACACATTCTTTGTAGTTCCATCAACCAAGATGCAGTATCTATTTCTTCCATTTTTGAATATGGGTAGGCCTCTTGACTTGCAATGAACAGAATGTGGCAGAATTGACACTGTGTTACTTCTGATGCTCAGTCTCAAGAGGCCATGCAATTCCTGCTATTTTCCTCTTGGAACACTACCATGTAAGAAATCTGGGCTATCCTTCCAGAAAAGAAATATGGAAGTGAGCCAGTTAATGGTCGACCTAATTGCCAAATATGTAAGTGAGGTCATCTTGGACTGCCCAACCATAACCAAGCCACCAGATGACTGCAGCCACATGAGTGACCCTATTTATAATTAGAAAAAAAGCCTAGCTGAAGTTAACCCAAATTGGAAAAATCAAGAGCAAATAAATGATTGTTTTATGCCACCATGTTTTTGTTTTTTATTATATTATACCATATTTTATATTACTAATAAATATAATTTTGTGTTTATATGTTTTTTAAAAATAATTTTTTCAAAGAACTTATTAAAAGAAAACAGTTTGATTTTTTAAAATAGACAACAGATTCTTTGGTGAAATGAATAAACACTTCACCAAAGATGACATATGAATGGCAAATCAACACATTAAAAAAATGGCCAATATCATTCATTACAGAAATATAAATTGAAACCTCAATGAGATAGTATTATATATCTGTTACAATGACTAAAATAAAGATAACTGACAATAGCAAATGCTGGGTAGGAGGAGAGCAAGTAGAACTCTCAAGAATTTCTGGTAGGAATTTCAAAACGGTACAGGTACTCTAGAAAAAGAACTGGGTTGCTTCTTATAAAGTTAAATATGCAGTTAACATATGACCCAGCAGTTCCACTCCTAGGTATTTGCCCAAGAGAAATAAAAACTATGGTCATACAAAAGTTTATGAAACAAAGGTTAATAGTGACTTTGTTCACAACTGCCCCAAAATGGAAATAACCTCACATTCTTCAATTGGTGAATGGATTAAAAAAAAAAAAGTGATATATCTTGCTATGATTTGGATGTGGTTTGTCCTCATCAAAACTCACGTTGAAATTTGATCCCCAACATGGCAGTATTGGCAGGTGGGACCTAGTGGGAGGTATTTGGGTTATGGAGCTAGATCCCTCATGAATAAATTAATGCTCCTCCTTCAGAGATGACTGAGTTCTCCTTCTCATGGGAATGGAATAGTTACCAAAAGAGCAGGTTGTTTAAAAAAGTCTGGCTTCCTCGGTTTCTGTCTTGCTTCCTCTCTTATCATGTGATCTCTTTATACACGCTTACTCTCCTTCCACTTCCCACCATGAATTGAAGCAGCCTCAGGCCCTCACCAGATGCAGCTGTTCAATCTTGGACTTTCTGGCCACCAGAATCATGAGCCAAATAACTTCTTTCTCTATAAACTATCCAGTGTCAGGTATTCTGTGATAGCAATGCTAAATGGGCTAAGACACATCAATATAACGGAATACTACTCAACATTTAAAAAGAATAAAAATACTACTCAGCAATAAAAAAGAATGAACTACTAATACAGACAATAGTATTGATGAAACTCAAAAACATTATAGTAAGTGAAAAAAGACAGACTCAAAAGGCTACATACTATGTAATTCAATTTATATGACATTCTGAAACAGGAAAAAAGTGTGACAGAAATCAGATCAGTTAAGTGCCAGGGACAGGAGGTCAGGACAGAATTTGACCATAAGAGGGAACAACAGAATTCTAGAGGGAGGTAGAATTCATCTATAGTTTTTGTGATGGTTACGTGACTGTATTTGCCAAAACTCACAGACATCTACGATAAAGGAAGTGAATTTTATGTACAGACATTACTCATCAATAGATCAGATTTACACAAATACACTGCAACCTCCTATATATTGTGCTTCTACATTTGCATCCCTCCAAGATACGATATTTAAATTATTTTCCTAAATTTCTAAAACTATCAACAAAATCAGAAAATTCTAGCCGAAAGATTTGTTAATGGCTTTTCAGATTATTGACTTGAATCTAGAAAATCTAAAAAATTGTAGTTTCAAGCTTTTGTGTTGCTTTCCAACTCCAATCCATATGCCTTATCTCAAAGAAACGACCTAGTTATAAACATCTGAATTAATCTTTTGTAGTCTGACTTGTGAACACATTTTCTTATATGAAAAAGACATAGCAAATTGAGTACAAAATATTAACTTAATTACTATAAGGGGAAAAAAATCCCAATGCTAGTAGCACCTCCATTGCTCTTCCTTTCATGCCAGAGGGCTCTAAAACGACATCCCTTTGGAAGAAATACAAATGGCCCCAGCAGTAAAGTCAATGAAAGGGCCCAATGAGGTTGAGGGAAAATAACTATAAACTATTTTCCTGAAATTATATTCCCTTATATAAACATGGGCCTATTTGCTTAGTCTGTTTTCAGACTGTAATTACATGGTATTACCACATGACTTAGGTGATTCAGCTCTTGAAAGTAGTCTCTACATTTAAATGTAGTTGAGAAATTAATTTCAACATATAAGAATATAAAGAAAGTGACTTAATAGACCTAAAGATTATTTTGCAGAAAGAAAAACCCATACTAAAGCAAGCTTTCCCTTCATGCAACAAAAACAAGACATTTGGCAGTCAGAAATAAACAAATTGAAATATCAGTATTGAAGATGGAACCATAAGGAAAGTGAGCAATTATTTATAAGTCTAAATTGTTAAGGGGAAAAATCTTTTTAGGAGCAAAATTCCCATGATATAGAAGGAGATTTGATTACAATCAAAGCAAACTCCAAAATCAACTAGAATAGTAGCTATTCTTGGTGATCTCATACCTAAGATGTTTAGGTCACTGATTTCTCTGTTTTCTGCTCAGGAAGGCAATACAGTTATTCAGAGTTTAGGTTGTGGAGTCATACTACTGGGATTCAAAGTAGGCTCTACCACTTGTGAAAAGTGTGACCTTCAGCAAATTAAATTACTTAACATCTCTATAATTGTTAATCTGTAAAATGGTTACAAAAATGGTACTAACATCTCATAAAGATAGTGTGAAATTCAGTGAGATGATCCATGCAAAGTCCTTGGCACAGTACCTGGCATGTAATAAATGACAGCTATTATTACTAACCCCTAAATTATCAATCTTTAGAATGAATGAATAAGACTCTACTGAAAGATCACCTTCCTCCATGATGTTCCCTGAGTACCCCAAGTAGGAAAGAAAATAATAGACAAATTCAAGAAGTTCTGTCCACTTTCTAATCCCTGACTGCTTGCTATCTTCTTGAATGGTACAAATGACAAGAATAATGTTTCATTCATTTTTGTCTTAACACGTAGCATTGTCTTTCAAAGGACATAAAAGGACCCAAATAATATTATGAAGAAAAAGTTATGAAACTAGACAAAGGGAAAAATCCGAGTTCTAAACAAAGAGTGAAGGGCAGTGAGAGTAGAAAATGAGAGCACCATGGGCATCCTCTCTATAGCATCAAGGGTAATTTAACACTGCCAACTACATTCTTCCTTCACAGAATGTTCCTCAGTTTCCGTAACAGCTCTGTCCCACTATTCTTCCCCAACTATTCTAAAGGCTTTCTGTACAATTGGATGTTTCCACTTTCTACTCCTTAATTTATGTGTTTCTCAAAGAGAAATGAACTTTCAGCTCTTTCTCTATACCACTTCCCTTAGGGTCAATTACCACCTCTGGAGTAAGGATTCTCAAATCTTCATTTCTAGCTTCTCTAGTTTGAGAGAGTGAGTACTACATGATCATCTTCGCATATAAGATACTAGGTAATGTTTTACCTCAATAACTTTGGAAAAAAATACAGAGATCGCCTATGTAATATTATGTTTACTTGCTCCCTGAAAATATATAGGAGACTTTGGTTTTCAAACAGTTGATGCCTTCTAATAGATATATGTCACATTTTTTACAGACTAGAAATAGCAATGATAATCATTCTCCGCATTCCAGATCCAGTTGTTTAATGATAAACTTTTGTTTCTGCATTTTAATAAGTTCTAGTTAGACTAACTCAGCCTCCCAGTTATTATAATCTTTGTTACAGTTCATATAAAATTTTTAATATACATGAGTTTAAAACATAGTTTGGATTTAATATATCAATTTTTTTAAATACATAACTGTAAATGAAATGTAAGTATATAAATGAAATGGCATAGTTTTTCTACATTAAAATGCATATGCAAAATAATGATGCCACTATGGAGAAATTATATCAGGGTTTCCCTGGGCCACACTGGAAGAAAAATTGTCTTGGGGCACATATAAAGTACACTAACACTAATGATAGCTGATGAGCTTAAAAAAAAATAAAAAAATCTCAGAATGTTTTAAGAAAGTTTACAAATTTGTGCTGGGCCCCATTCAAAGCTGTTCTGGGTCACCTGTGGCCCATGGGCTGTGGGTTGGACAAGCTTGTTCTGTATTAAATACACAGAGATAGAAAACTGTCATGCTAAGTTGTGGCAAAGACAGCAGGTTATAAAAATAATTAACTATTTTTCCTAGCGGAATGAAGCCCTACACCTAAAAACAAAGTACAATATTTCATCATTCTTCATTCAGTATTTTAGGACCTACCGGAGAGATTCGGCCATTCGCCTCAAGTCTTCATTCTGTTGTTTTAAGCGTTCAAGCTTTGCCAGAATCTTGGACAGTTCTCGGCTAGAGTGATCAGGATGGTCATTATCTCGTACCAAGTGACCACCTATATAAAACAGCAAGGTCCCCCAGGCAAAAAGAATGAGCATAATCCAACGCCAGGAACCAGTCCATGGCCGCATTTTCAGATTTTCAACTCACTTCCCTGGAGTCCTGGAGCTCAAAGAATTGAAAACATTGTAACTCTGTTTCTAGTTAGTGCACAGGTGAATAGACTTCTGTTGTTTCAACACATGATGCTTCAGACAAATTATTCTCTCTGGTAGTCCTGCAGTGAATCTTTCAAAGAGATCCTCCTGGTGATATGTGTAGGAAGCTTTATTGTCCTGTACTTCATGCGCTCTACATGCTGTGGAAAGAGTAAGAAATGTATTTAAATTATTTAAGGTATATAAAATAGCATATACTGAGATTCTTGGAGGAAACACATTGGTGTTGACTGGCCAACAAGTTGGAAGATAACCTAACTGCCTAATAACAAGTAAAGGGTAAAAGCTTTAAATCTGTTAATCTGTATATTAAATCAGCCATGTACATTAGTGCTCTACCAGATAACAGACTAATTAGCTCTAAGCCTGAAAGTCCTCAAAGTGCCATCATCACTTTCTTTTCCTTCTTGCATAATTATACATTAACTTATATATGAAGACTTAAAAATTATATCTTTGAACAATCAATCAAAAACAAAATGTACTCAACCACATATTTTGGGCTATATGTTCATTATCTCAAGAAAAAACATGTTCCCTGTATGAGTGATTTCATTTCTACCAGTTCTCAACTCCACTCTCCTCCCTCATTGTTCAGCTGCCATTATACCACTTAACTCTGCAGGTGACAGGCAAATTGTCACTTTTAGGATAAATTCTAAAACTGACATGCATATTAGCCAAGTAAAGGTTATCATAGCCATTAACCAGCTGGCAGTCATTCCAAATATCAGAAGCAAAGGTTCAAATGGATCAGGCTAGACTACTGCTTCCTCAAATTTATAAAAATACCAACAATTGCAACAAACGTCTAGCACCAGTTACATCTTAGTTACTGTGCATCTTAAACTACAAATGCACATTCTTTTCCAGGCTTGGTTACAAGTATCATTTGTCATTTCTCCATCATTAGGCTTAGAATTCCCTTGGAAACAAAACTATTTTCTCCCCAGGAGAGAATTTGTAGGCAAAAATATAATTTAAAACCTTTTGACAGGCCAGCCACAGTGACTCACATCTGTAATCCCTGCACTTTAGAAGGAGACAAGGCGGGAGAATTGCTTGAACCCAGAGTTTGAGACCAATCTGGCAAGATGGTGAAACCCCATCTCTATAAAAATTTTTTTTTCTTTAATTTTAAAAATGTTTTGATAATTTTAAAGCTATAGAAGAGAAATCATATGTCTAGACAGAGTTCCATATACAAGAGAAGAGAGAAAAAACAAGAAATAGTTTCTGTATACGAGACTGAATGTGAGGGGCACTTGACCACAAATCAAACAGTGGTAAAAAGATGAGCAGAAAAGATGGAGAAGAGGCTTCAAAAATCAGAGCACAGGGCCACTATTTTTCTATGTTTGCACCTTAAATCTCAATTGTTTTTAAAACACCAATATTCAAAGAGAAGAAAATCAAAGGGCTGTCCTAGAAACACTCTACTTCCTTCCCATTTACTCCTACAACATTTACCTTAATGTTACTGATTTACACTGGCTAAAACATAGAATGAAAAGAATTGTACTTGCTGAGAACTGTTTGAAAACCAAATTAAAAAGGAATAATCCAAGTAAAAAGTTGTCTGTTGTTTTAATAACTATTCTTAAATCTATCAAGAACACTCTTTTTACTGACTCCATTGTTTATCCTGTCCCTTTCTTAAAACTCTTTCTCAATCCCCACTCCTCTAAACTCAGGTATCCCCTACTTTTCATCTTATGTAAAAAAAATACAGAAATCCAGGGCTCTGTGACTTTAAAACCAAATAAGAAGTGAATTCATTCTGATGGCATAAGAAATTGATTCAATTCGGTACGTCAGCCAAAAAATATAAGTATTAATATTTCAATTAACAGTAATTTTGAGACAACATATGCAACACTGTAAAATGTTACTATACTTATATGCTGAAACTGTACTATATCCTAGTTAATTCTAAGCTATTAAGATATACAGTTGTCTCTCAGTACCCTCCACGGACACCAAAATCCACAGATGTTCGGGTTTCTTACATAAAATGGCATAGTATTTACATATAACCTACACACATCCTCCCAAATACTTTAAATCATCTCTAGATTACTTATAACACCTAATACAACGTAAATGCTATGTAGATAGTCAATTTTGGGGGTATTTTTTGGCAAATATTTTGATCTGTAGTTGGCTGAATCAAGAATACTAAAACTACAGCTACAGAGGGTAAACTATATATCAGATATTACAATTTTTTTCTTTCCCTTCACTGCAAAAGTAACGCAGAAAACAGACAACTGAGATAAACAACCAAAGCAAAGGTAGCTTTCTTTAAAAGAGTAATTTAAATAATAAAAAGACATGCTGAAACATTTTCCTTGGGATTACCATAAAAATCGTAATATTTAAAGCCAGCATAACTTGAATAGTAACAAAAGTTTACAGAAACATACATTTTGAATAACAAAATTTGTACAACAAAAAATACTTTCCATTTTTTATAAACCATTACCAAAAATATCTAAGAGATTAAATTACTATATTATATATCAATATTGATAATACTTGAGTTTTAAAAAGCAATACATTTTTATAAGAGCAAAACATGGTCATTTTCTAATTAATAGCATCATTTGAACTATGTTTTTGGAGAGAATGTTTCCCATGATTTTTTTTGTCTTTGCCAGTATTTTTTAAATCCCCAGTTTTGGGGTCAAGAAAACCAAGTTAAGCTGAAAAACAAATAGTTTTCTATGCAATTTTCCTCTGCAAGGTTTAAAAGAACAAGTACAGAATTTTTTCCCTATCTACTAACTACAATGAATGCTTGCTTACTTACTTATGGTTACTGTTTATTGTCTGAACCATGCTTGCTAAAATACAAACGCCATAATTTTTGTTCATTGTGTTCACTGATGTATCCCAGGCACTCAGAACGGTATTTGGCACTTAGTTGGCACTAATAAATACAGCTTAAACTGCATTTATGCCCTACTTAAGACAGCAAATGGTAATGCAGAAAGTGAGAGAATGCTATTATAAGGAAATGGTTCAAAAATAAAGTCATTAATAAACTTTCATATTTATTATTGTCAACATATATCTTATAAAGACATTCCTTGATTGATTAAATTTAATTGGCCTAAAAGACCAAGAGAGTCTTTTTTTTTTTTTTTTTGAGTCTCGCTCTGTTGCCCAGGCTGGAGTGCAGTGGCACAATCTCGGCTCACTACAACTTCCACCTCCAGGGTTCAAGAGATTCTCTTGTCTCAGCCTCCCGAGTAGCTGAGACTACAGGTGTCTGCTGTGGCGCCCGGCTCATTTTTTATATTTTTAGTAGAGATGGGATTTCACCATGTTGGCCAGGCTGGTCTTGAACTCCTGACCTCAAGTGATCCACCTGCCTCAGCCTCCCAAAGTGTAGGGATTACAGATGTGAGCCACCACACCCAGCCAAGAGAGTCTTATGGTTTACCTTTTAACCATGAAAAAATAATGTATCTTATTTTCTTCATTTAGAAGATTCACTTTGCAAAGACAACGATATAACTGAAGAAAGTATGTTCAGCCTTTGATATGACAACCACTCAACTTATTTGTGAAAGTATTAGTAAAAATAGTTCAAATTCGTAAAAATATTTAAAAATTACATATATCAGCTAATTTCTGACTAAAATTTATATAGCAGTGTTTGTTGAGATTTCTTCTCAGAGTGGGCTTTCAAGAATTTATAAATTTATTACTACTTAAGACTCACAAAGTACCCTTCTGCAAAATACTAAATATACTAAATGTACTGAAATGTGCCAGGATTCTTTCTGCAAATTTATTTAATTAGTGATATCACTTTTTTTTTTTTTAAGAGACAAAATTGGCTGGGCACAGTGACTCACACCTGTAATCCCAGCACTTTGGGAGGCTGAGGCGGGTGGATCACAAGGTCAGGAGTTCAAGACCAGCCTGGCCAAGATGGTGAAACCCCCGCCTCTACTAAAAATACAAAAATGAGCCAGGCATGGTGGTGGGTGCCTATAATCCCAGCTACTTAGGAGGCTGAGGCAGAGAATTCCTTGAACCTGGAAGGTGGAGGTTGCAGTGAGCCGAGATCACAACACCACACTCCAGCCTGGGCGACAGAGCAAGGCTCTGTCTCAAAAAAAAAAAAAAGGGGAGAGAGAGACAAAATCTCGGCATGTTGCCTAGGCTAGATTGATATCACCTTTTTAAGGTACTAAGGTATTTAAATGATTCATTTCTTTCAGTATTTACAGAGATTCTTTGGGTAATATTTGTTTAATGTCTCTGGAACAATAAACATATTTGATTTTTCAAAGTACTTTTTCTGAATCTGGAAGCTCGAGTGTAATATCAGTAAGATAAGGAGACTTAATAGAGTTGCCACGAGCCTTAAATAAGGTTAACATATATAAACCACTTATCATAATGCTTGGCACAGAAGAAGTGCTCCAAAAAAAGTAATTTTATTTTAATGCTGACAAGACATAGAAATTAAAAGTATGGGTGCTAGAATCAGCAGTGTCTAGACTGGAGTCTCAGTTCTGCTACATCATAGCTAGGTAACCTCACTGAACATCAATCTGTAAACTGGAGATAATAAATACCACCTCTCCCAGAGAATACTGGAAAAGGCTTAAATAAAATAATCATCAGTGGTGAGGCACCTCAGCATACCATGCAGCAAATTATTATGTGGTATATATTGACGTTGTTACATTATTTTATAGACCCATTTACAATTCTTTATATAATTAATATGCCACATGCTGTTGTAGGCAGCTTCTAAAATGGTTGCCAACTATCTCTGCGTCCACTATTCATGCCCTTGTATCATCTCCTCCTCTTGAGTGTTGGCTGCACCTAGTGACTTGTTTCTTAAATAGAATACAGTAAAAGTGACAGAATTTCATTTCCAAGATAAGGTTACAAAAGACTGGAGCTTCTGTGTCTTGCTCACATTGTCCCTGCTTGCTTATTCTGATGATACAAGCTACCATACTGTCAGCCATCATGCTGAGAGGCCCATGTGGAAAGGAGCTGAGGGCAGCCTTCAGACAACAGCCAACGAAGATTTAAAGTGCTCAGTCCTAAGACCACAAGCACCTCACAAGGTTGTTGAATCCCGCCAATGACCAGTGAACGTGAGCAAGCTTAGAAATGCACCATCACCAGTCAAGCCTCAAGACAGCTGTAGCTTTGGTCCACATCTTGAATGCAGGCTTTTTAAAGACCCTCACCTAGGAGATGGAGCTTAGCCAGAGGATCCAGCTAAACCATCCCTAAATTCTGACCAACAGATAATAAATTGTTGCTTTAAACCACTTAGTCTAAAGGTAATGTGTTACATAGCAATAAATAATTAATACATATGACTACCTCCTCTAGTAGGTTAAAAGCCTGATCTTCACTTCATGTGTTATTTTCTGTCTCTAGCAAGTTATAGAAAGCCCTGGGCACAGAATAGGCATTCAAGTTGCAGGACAGAACTGAGTCTTAATCACATTTCCTTATGTATTCTGCTAATACCTCTTATACATACCATAAAACAAAACTCAATTTACAGCAAATAAGAGATTTAACAGATACAATTACAATTATTGGTTTTATACTAATACCAGAGGTAAAAAAGCACATTTATTAATAGCTGCTAAACAGAGTTCCATCTCCAACCATGAAAGAATAACTACTAGATTAGCCTCACATATAAACTAGAAAACTTTAAAAAACATATTTAGAAAAACTGTTTTCAGATATTGGGCAAAGGTCAAAGAAGACTGTAATGTCTGAGAGAAAATTAACAATAAAAGTAAGCCCTATGATCACTTTAGCCTTCTGCCTAGAAGCATTTGCTGAACACCAGCACAGAAAGGAAGAACCCAAACAAAACACAGCCATCTTCCTCAGGTGAGAAGACAAAGACCAAAGTTCAGGGAATTTAAGGTAGGTGGAATTTGCAGGTCATTATACTAAAGAGGAGGTAGATACTCAGAAAGCTCCAAAATTTGCATAGGAGATCCTTTAAGTCTTTGGCAGGAAACTAAGTTATAGTAAGAACTCATGAGGCTTGCAAAGGACAATTATCAGAAATAGAAAAATTAAATACTGGGTAGCTAAAAGCTGAACACATCTCAAAGATTAGGCAAAGTTGACAGACCTGTGAGTTCCAACCAGGTACAATAAAAATACCACAGAGAAAACCTGCAGCATTCGGTAAAAATCCAAGAAATAAAACACCTTAGAAATTAAAATTAAGCAAGCAGGATCAGAAAATGTTTTCTGTAAAGGGCAAGATAAATATCTTAGGCTATGTGAGGCATATATAGTCACTGTCACATATACTTCTTAATTTTTATTTTTGTTTCTTTATAACCCTTTAAAAATGAAAAATCCATTCTTAGCTCATGAGCTATACAAAAATGGGCTGTGGACCAGATTTGGCTCATAAACCAAAGTCTACTGACTCCAGTTATAGAATAAAAGCTATGCCAACAAGAGCCCTAACAAAGCTTAAAAACAAGCTACAAAAGGATCAGTGTAATCCAAAAGTAAATTATCTGCCTGTCAAAATAAAACTCAACAATCTTCAAAGAAAGATAAGAAAATACAGACAATCAAAACTAGAAGGTGCATTTTATCAAAAGTTACAAAGAATATGAACAGAGGTCATGCTGTGATGCAGGCATCCAAAGACCTGCTAAAAGCTAAGGATGGAGCTGGAACACAGAGGAAAGACTCCAGCACCGAGGCTCCAAACCAAGAATGAAGAAGCAGCAAGCAGTCCACTACTGCAGGAATTTCAAGTTTCTGATTCAGTGAATTTAACTATTACAATCACAACAAAAAAACAAATCCAACTCAAACCACTGTTGGACTGACTCAATCTCTGCCCCATCCCAATCCACATATACACCAACATCATCAAAGAAGAAGGGTACCCGTTTCTGGGCATAAATACTATTCACCTCAATCTTTGTTGCCTTTTACCTAAAATGTCTGGCATGCAACAAAAAAACCATGAGATATAGATCTATAGATATAAATATATATATATAATATATATATAGATATATAGTTAAAAAAAAAACCCAAACCATAGTCAAAAGACAAAGCAAACACCAAAACCAGACTTCTAAATGAATCAGATATTTGAACTATCAGACAGAAAAGAGAATAATTGTAATTGATATATTAAAGGATCTCATGGTAAATATGAACAAAATACAAAAACAGATAAGGGATTCGGCAAAGAAGAAATGCTAAATGGACTATATCAGAAAATCTTCAACAGAATTATCAGAAGATTAGACAAAGCTAAAAACTCAGTGAGCTTGAAGAGAGGTAAATAGATATTATTCAAAATGAAACGCAAAGAGAAGAAACAGATTGAAATTTTTAAAAAACAGAATAGGAATTTTAAAGCTGTAGTATAATATCCAATGATCTAGTGCAGGTGTAACTGGAGTTTAATAATGTGAAGAAAACAAGAACAGAGAAGAAAATACATTTAAAGAGATGTTAGCTGGGAATTTTCCAAAGTAAAAAAATGATAAAACACCACAGGTCAAAGAAATGCAGAGAATTGCTAGTAGGGCAAAATTAAAATGTAGACAAAAAGCTGCTAAAAAACAAACTGAAAGAGAAAAATCTTTCAGGTAACTAGGAAAAAAGAAATATTACATACAGAGAAAAAAAAATGAGAACACACTACATGTAATAAAGAAGGCCAGTCAAAAAACAATGGAGCATCATCTTTAAAATACCAAGGGGGGAAAAACGGCAACTGAGCATTCTAGATAATACCTTTCACTGGATAAAATGAAGGCAAAACAAAGGCAAATAAAGGCAAAATCAAAACTCTTCCAGAAAAAAAAAGTTAAAAAATATTCTGTGCCGGCAAAATTGTACTATAAAAAATGTTAAATGAAATTTTTCAAGGAGGAGTATGATACCAGATAAAAATGCAGATCTGCACACACAAAAATAGCACCAGAAATGATGAAATCTAAAAAATCAGAGCTATTTTCCCTTAATTTAACCACATTAAAAGATAAAAAGCTGTTAAACTCAAAAATGGCAATAATGTATCACTGGGTTTATAATATATGTAGATGTAAAACATATGACAGAATATTTAAAAGATGAGACGGAGGAAATGGAAGTGCACAAAAGTCAAGTTGTCTCACTACACATGAACTGCTATATTATTTGAAAGTAGACTAATAATTTTATATATACATATACATATATATAAAGATCCAGAGCTACACTGCTTTAATAGCTACATGCAACTATTTAAATTAGAATTAAAATTAAAAATTTATTTCCCCAGCCTGAGCAACATAGTGAGACCCTGTCTCTATAAATAAATTAAAACTGGTGGTGCACGCCTATAGTCCCAGCTCCTTGGGAGGCTGAGGTGGGAGGATCACTTGAGCCCTGGAGGTTGAGGCTGCAGAGAGCCGTGATCACACCATTCTACTCCAGGATGGGTGACAGAGCAAGACCCTGTCTGGGGGAAAAAAAGAACGTATTTCCTCAGGCACAGTAGGCCACATTTTGATTGCTCAATAGCTACCTGTGTCTAGTGGTTACCATTACGAATGGTGTAGATACAGAGCATTTCCAACATCAGATGGCATTCCCCCAGAGCAACAAGTAGTTTTTATTAAATAAAATAAAAAGGTATAGCAAAGAAAAAGCCAGTGGTGAAGATAAAATGGAATTAAAAAATGAAAGTATAATTCATTAGAGAAAAAACAGAGAAGAGAAAGTTCTTGAGAAGACCAGAAAAAGTTTCACAGCTGCAGTAGAGAAGGGAGCACATTTGAAGTATTAATAAAAGAAATGACAATGAGCTGCAGTCTCCATTCTTCAGGATGATCACTTCGGAAGCATCCTCTACTATGTCAGCAGTAAGTAACTGACCTCCTAAATAATATACTTCATTTAGTGCAGTCATTCATGTTATGTAAATTTTATTTTTTAAATATGCAGCATGGTTCTTATCAACATTTATAATGGAAAGCAACTGGAAGAAATCTACCTAAATCTATACAACACTATGATCCATTCACTCATATGTTCAAAAACTAATCATTCAATTTCTATTACATAAAATACATTACATATCCCAGGCATTGAGGATGCAGCAGTGAACAAGACAGACACAAATCCCTGCCTTCAATAGGTAATATTACAGTGGGTTCTAATTGCAAAGTGAAGTAATGCCACTAAAACAAACAACCAAAAAAGAAAAAAAGCCTCTTCTTACAGCAACTAACATTCTGAGTGACTCAACAGAAACTGAATATAAACTATTCCACAAATAATTGCATTTTTTGCTATCATTTTATTTTTAAGCATAAAATTGAACACTGCCACCTGCATACCACAGTTATAATACTATAATTTGAAAATCAAAATATATGTACAGTGTCAGAATAAAACATGGTAATTTATTGTTGCAATCTTCAAAATCCTTATGTATTACACAATGTTTAAAATTATATATATAAACAGATGATCATTATGTCAAGATTTTACCGCAGAGCTGAAACTAAGCTATTTTATCACAAACATTTAGCACCTTTGTAAGATCCAACCATACTGAAAAAAATTTTCAGAAGTAGAACGAAGTCTCTATTAAATTTACAATGATTACGATAACTGTGTTGTCATTGTTGTGACCATTACCATCATCATAACTCCCCAAAAATATAAGCAGGCTAGGATGTGTTGTCTTTTTCTTTTTTAAAATTCAACATTCTTTTAAACATGTTTTACATACAAAAAGCTATACATAATATATACAACTTGATGAGTTTGCAAAGTAGACACCTGTGAACTCATCACCACAATCTATGCCATAAACCTATTCATCATCTGCAACAGTTTTCTCCCACTCTCTTATTTACTATCACTAATTTGTGTGTTTGTAGTAAGAATACTTTACGTAAGATCTATCCTCTTAGGAAATTTTTAACCATACAATACAGTATTGTTAACTATAGGCACCACGCTGTACAAAAGATTTCTGAGACTTATCTTTATAACCAAAACTCTGTACCCTTTGACTAATAATTCCTCATTTCCCCCTCCTACATTTCCTAAAGATAGATATAGCTCAATTATTCCATTAGACATAACAAAAAATGCAGTACCATTTATAATACGATCAAACTGACACTTCTTAAGTCTAACAAGAAAATGAACAATGGCCACATTTGGCATATGACTGTGTGAAAAGGATGTTTCCAAGAATCATATTCAAGCAGCTTGACTTTGATGCTGAGGCCAGAAGATGAGTATGCGACAATCTGCTGAAGATAAAAGCCTGGCCTGTTGTGCTATGAGCCATGTCAAAGGAGGGTTGCCTTTTAAACTCAAAAATAATTCAGCACTTATTTAAATAATAAAAATATGTGTACCCTATGCAAAGGGTAATACGGCATTATATATCAAATATTTACATACACATGCCCTTTGACAAGAAATTCCACATGCAAAAATTTATGCTAAGATGCATTTTAATATGTAAACAAAATGCATTCACATACTCTTTACATCATTGTCTGCAACAGCACTAAACTGGAAAAACAACGTAATTGCCCATCAACAGAAGTACAGTTGAATAAAGTATTAATTACTTTGCCAAAAATATGTATTTTATACTATGATGCCAACAAGAAGGAAAATGTAACCCATAACCAGGAGAAAATTAGTCCATTTAAACAGATCCAGAAAACAGAAATGACAATGATGACAGCAGACAAGAGCGCTGAAACAAGTATCGAAATATGTGCTAGGATTTAAAAGAAAAAATGAAAATGTTGAAAAAAGAAAACTACAATAAAAATGTATAACTTGTAGAACAAAAAATATCATATAGATGGTCCTCAAATTAACAATGGCTCAACTTAACAATTTTTCAACTTTATGATGGTATAAAAGCAATATATATTCAGTAGAAACCACTCTGAGTAACCCTACAACCATTTTGTTCTTCACTTTCAGTAAAGTATTCAATAAATTACAAAATATTCAACACTTCATTACAAAATAGTTTTGTGTTAAATGATTTTGTCCAACTGTAGGCTAATATAAGTGTTCTGGGCACATTTAAGGTAGGCTAAGCTATGATGTTCAGATTAGGTGTATTAAACATATTGCGACTCATGATACTTTCAACTTATGATGGGTTCATCAGAACACACAATGATCTTGTTAAAAAGAGCCTGGTATCTCCTCCCTTCTCTCTCTTGCACCCCTTCTCACCATGTGATACGCTGGCTCCCCCTTTGCCTTCTACCATGAGAGGAAGTTTCCTGAGGCTCTCACCCAGAAGCAGATGCTGGCATTATGCTTCTCCTACAGACTGCAAAGCTGGGAACCAAGTAAACTTTTTTGTTTTGTTTTGTTTTGTTTTTAGACAGAGTCTCGCTCTGTCACCCAGGCTGGAGTGCAGTGGCGAGATCTCGGCTCACTGCAACCTCCAACTCCTGGGTTCAAGCGATTCTCCTGCCTCAGCCTCCCAAGTAGCTGGGACTACAGGCACGCGCCACCATGCCCAACTGATTTTTTGTGTTTTTAGTAGAGACAGGTTTTCACTGTGTAAACCTCTTTTCTTTATAAAGTACCCAGTCTCAGGAATTCCTTCAGAGCAATGAAAAACAGACTAATACAGGTAGCCACTGTTGATAGGACTTATTGTCAGATACTACAGTGTTTTACAGCTTCACCACAGCTGCATCACCTTACAGTAACTATTATTGTGAACAAAAAACCGTTCAAATGATAAAAGGCAAATGAAACTCATCCATCATCATTAGTTAGGCAAAAAGCCATTTACAATATCCGTTTTGGGGCCAGTTGGAAATCTGTAAGCACTTCCCCATTTTTGAGTTTGGCTTCAGAAAAGGACTTCTCAGAACAAAATTTATCATCAAATTTGAAGTAATGTACATTGAAAATATGTTTAACCATGGGTATATATAGAATTTCCAATCTATTTTTAAATACAAATAAAACCATAATTTAGAGGGTAAAACAGCCACAAGATTGGGGGGTAAACCATACATGGTAACAAAGAAATGCAGGGGGCTTCTAATCAGAAAAAAATACAATCTAGTAAGACAATGGGACAACATCTTTTTAAAATGCTAAAAAAAAAAAATGACAAAACTACACTTTGTTATTCAGTAAAAATATATTCAAAAATAAAAGGTTTCTGTGAATGTGAACTTTCAGCTAACTTGGGTCAAATAGCTAGGAGTAGGATTGCTGGGTCACATGAAAAATGTATGTTTACAAGAAAATGCCAAACTCTATTCCAAAGTGGCTGCACCATTCTGAGTTGTCAGAAGCAATGAATAAGAACTCCTGTTGATCCACAATCTCCCTAGCATTTGGTATTGTCAGTTTGTTTAAAGGCAATTCTGGTAGCTGTGTAGTGGTATCAAAGTGTGGTTGCAATGTGTACTTTTCTAGTAACAAATGACACTGAACATCTGGCCATCTTTTCATGTGCTTATTTTGTATCCGTATATCTTCTCTGGTAAAGTATCTTTTGAGATCTTTCGCCCATTTTTTAGATTGCTTGTTTTCTTACTGCTGAGACTTGAGTTCTTTATATATTCTGAACATAAGTCTTTTATCAAATATATGATTTTCAAATATTTTCTCCCAGTCTGTGGCTTATCTTTTTATTCTTTTAACAGTATCTTGCACACAGCAAAATTTTTAAATTTTTTAAATATAATACAATATACTGACTTCTTTTCTTTTATAGACTGTGGTTTTGGTACTATGTCTATAAATTCAATGCTAAACCCAAAGTCCCATATATTTTCTCCTATGGGTTCTTTAAGAAGTTTTAGTTTGAGGTTTCAAAGTTAATCCACCCAAGAAAAATGAAAGCATATTTTTCCACAAAAAATTAATCTCAAATGTTTGCAGCAGCTTTATTCATAACAGACAAAAAACTGCAAAAAAAAAATCAAGATGGCCTTCAACAGGTGAACAGATTAACAAACATGATACATAGAAAACAAAGGAATACTAGTTAGTAATAAAAAGAAATAAGCCATTGATTTACTCAACAAAATGAATCTTAAATGTATGTTGCTAAGTGAAGGAAGACAAAACCAAAGACTACATATTGTGTGCTTCATTTACATGACATTACAGAAAGGGAAAAACTATAGGTTGAAAAATAGTTCAGTGGTTCCCAAGAGTTGAAAGTACAAGGAGGGGATGATTATAAAGTCCCTTCAAGAGTAACTTATATGATGAAACTATTCTAAATGATACTAAAAAAGGACCCATCAATTCTGTAGTACTCATCCTCTAAAACCATGAATCCAGTCTAATAATAAAAGAAAATATCAGACAAATCCTCATCTGGGGACATTCAACAAAATACCTAACCAGTACTCTTCAAAAGTATTGAACTATTAAAGTCATAAAAACAAACAACTGAGAAATTGCCATAGATTAGAGAAGTCTAAGGAGACATAATGACTAAATATACTGTGGTATCCTGAATTGAATCTTGGAACAGGGCAGGGACACCATGGAAAAACTGCTGAAATCCAAATGTAGTCTGTAGTTTAGAGTATTTCACTACTGTTAATTTATTAGTTTAGATGAATGTACCATGGCTACGTAAGATGTTAACATTAGGGGAACATGGGCAAAGAGTATACAGTGACTGTACTCTCTTTGCTAATTTTCTATAATTCTAAAATTATTCTGAAACAAAAAGCTTTTAAAAAATAAATGCAAAATAAGTATATTTTTGGAAAACAAAAAAATGGAAAGAACTTGTTGCCAGCTGATACATACTACAAGATATATTTAAAAGGATACTTTTCAGGCTGAAAGAAATGATTGTGGATAGAAACTTGAATGTAAATGATGGATTTAAACAGACATGTTAAATATATGGGTAAATACAAATAAAATTTTTTCTCATTTCTAATTTCTCTTTTTTCCACCCTGCCCCCTCCTCATTTCTAATTTCTTTCAAAATAAATTTGACTCAAAGCTAAAATAATAACAAAGTATTATGGGGTTTACAACACACACAATAGTAAAATATATGACAATACTTACACAAAACATAGCAAGCAGAAAAAAGGAAGGACACTGTTTTAAAGTCCCTATATTATACCTCAAGAGGTATAAAAGTATTTGAAAGTTTGGTGAAATACGTAAAAGGTTCACAGTGTAAGCTCTATGAATGTAATATAAAACCGATAAACAACAAAGAAAAATCAATGAAAACAAAAAATGGGTTCCCTGAAGTGATCAATAAAATTAAAAATCTTCCAGTTGGACTAATCAAGGGCATAAGGACACAAGCTGAAAAAAAAAAGAACATAAGCTGCTAATATTAGGAATGTAAGAGGCACTATCTGTAGTATTACTAGAGATACTACAAAAGAGTAATAAGAAAATATTACAAATAATTTTCGGTCAATAAATACGAAGTCATACCTGAAATGGACAGATTTCCTAAAAGAAACAAACTACTGAAGCTCAATAAAGAATAGATTACTTGAATAGCCTAATGACTTAAAAACTTAAAGCTTAAGGAAGTTGAATGCGTATTTGTAAATCTTCCCATGAAGAAAACTCTAGGCCCATATTGCTTTATGTGCGAATTCTACCATTTACATAACATGGTAGATATAACAACAATTCTACACAAAGAGTTCTAGAAAATGGAAAAAGAAAAATAAACAGCTTGTCAATTTCTTGCAAATATATACTTACCGTATACCTCAACAATTCTATTCAGGTATTTACAAAGGAACTTAAGATGTATGTCCATACAAAGACTAGTACATGAGTATTCATAGTAACTTTATTTATTTACAACAGCCAAAGATTTGGAACAATCCAGGCATCTTCAAGCAGGTGAATGGATAAACAAATTATGGCACATTCATACAATGGAAAACTGTTCATCAGTTTAAAAAAACAACAACTACCAGTATACACAATATGGTTAAATCTCAAAAACATGCCTGACAAAAAATGCCAGGGACAAAAAAAATACACACTGTATGACTCTATTTTCGGCCAATAAATATGAAGTCATACCTGAAATGGACAGATTCCCTAAAAGAAACAAACTACTGAAGCTCAATAAAGAATAGATTACTTGAATAGCCTAATGACTTAAAAACTTAAATTCATAAAATTATGAAGTTCTACAACAAAGAAACTAACAGATAGTGATGGAAATCAGACTAGTACTTGCCAGCAAGTACGAAGATGACTGATTAAGAAAGGAAATGACAGTTACATGAGGATATAGATTTAAGAAATATCATCTAACTGTATACTTAATATGGGTTCACTGATGTAAATTATGTTCCAATAAGGTTGACAAAAATTTTAAGAGAAAGTTTAAATTACCCCTATTTTGTGACTATAATTGAAAATGTCAATAATTGAAAGTTGTTATTTCATTAAATGCCTAAATTATGTCCTTGCATTTAAGTTTCAATGAGACAGATTTTTTCAGCAAATCATCACCTAGTACATTCTTACTTTTAATGAAAAAAATTTCAACAGCATTTATTATATAGATGTAATAAACTTTCCAAATGTTAAAGTGAAAACTATATTTTTCACAAATTTCAGACAATAAGAATCAACTTAAATAACTAGTAATATAATTAACAAACCAGAGAAATTGTACTGAACATTCTTACTAACCTAACCTTTTCTCAGAATAAAAGGAATCATCATAAATTATTCAAATAATAGTGATTTCCTAAATTAAAATATACACTGCAGTTATAAGAGTTATCAATTTACTTTTTTAACAACTGAAAAGAGTAAAAACCAAAATCATTATTACAAAGTGTTTCTTGAAGTAATTCAACATAATAGAATAAACTGAAAAATTTAACAGAAAAGTGAAGTCATTTATTTAGCAAATTTAACGAATGACTGTTACAAGGTAACAGATTGAGCATGACATATTTCACACTCATTTTCTTCATTAACAATCTACTAGAAAACAAAAATTTTTCAAGTTGATAAAGAGAATTATAAATAAAACTTTTAAAGAAAAGCTAATTATCAATTATAATGTACAAACATTTTAAGAGCCATATATAGTACATACATAATCCAATCCTATTCAGGATTAATATGTGCCCAAGACTCTATTTTTTAAATATCTTCTCCTTTGATCGCAATTCATTTTTTAACTAAATATTGTTACAGAATTTATTAAAATCTTTTTTATTGCTTTGCTCCCTATACGGGAAAAGGGTAATTTACAAATAATGTGTTTATTAATGTAAGAAAGAAGTAGAAAGGAACAAGTAAAAATAGTATTATAAATTAAAAGGGTCCTTTAATGCTAGCTGAAATAAACTTTTACTTTATGTAAAAGCATTTGGTAAAACCAACTAAACTGAAATGAAGACAACGAAAAAGAGAGGTGGGGGAAAGGGAGGGGAAGAAAGAGGAGAGGAGGGGAAGGAAGAGGAGAGGATGAAAAGAGAGAAGAAGAGGGTAAGACAGGGAGGAAAAGAGGGCAGAGCAGGACAGAGAAAAGAAAATTTTCATATAAATCCTACCAAGATTATAAAATTTGATTTTCATTCATTACTTATACTCATCTATCATACTTCATATTTCTTATCAGTAGTGTCATAGTATATACATATGAATTTAAAATGCCAGCATCATAAATACATGAATACAAAATACTAATTCACTGAAATCAGCCAATATCTTAGAAATTAATCTTCCTAGTTATAAAGTACAAACACATAATCACATTTATAAGGTTCTTATCAAGAATATCTCACTCACCTTAACAATTACACACAATAACACACCAGGCTGTGTTTACTGATACAATTAACTACTCAAATGGGTCTAGAAATCTGGACTTGCCATCTGTACCTTCAGCCCTAAATAAATTAATACTGCTGAAAAATGGTAATACTAGTAAATTCAAATGAAATGTGTATATATATCACCATTTTCTCCAATTGTGTGTGTGTGTGCACATAAATAATATATACTTGATTGGCACCATGATGTGTTAATATTAGAAAGAGCAACCATTTCAAATCAATCACATATGGACAGTTTACCCTGCTATAAAGTAGGAGTCATAATCGTAGAAACTCACATAATTGTGAAGATTATGATAATATGCATAAAAGTGATTTGTACACAGTAAAACAATCTATAAATATTAGTTATTATCTTTCCCTTGCTTAGAAACCAAGTAGATCAGCCTTCTGCCAGTTTCTGGAATATGCCAAGTTCTTACCCAACATGCAGCCTTTGTTCTTGCTATTCCTTCCACCTTTGGCTCATTCTTATAATTCAGATCTCTACTTATATTATACTTCTTTTCCAAAAAACAGCCCCTGACAACTAGTATCAATTACGACACATTAGGATACAAGAGAAATTGCAACTCAAGGTGACTTTAAAAATAAGAAAATTTTAGTTTCTCAACAGCAAAAAAGCTAATTCAATGGGGTTCAATGAAACTGTGAAAAATCCCTTTTCATCTTTCTATTCTACCTTAGCATATCTGTTTTTGTCCTCTAGCTAACTTTCTTCCTGGTAGCAAGTTAGCTGCCTCAATTCCAGCCATATGCAATTATGTGCAAAAGAACAACTGGGAATCTGTCTCTTAATTTTAAGAGAGAGGAAACCACTGACAGTCATCTCCCCTGAAGACCTGCACATCTTCCTAGCCAAGATTGAGTCATCTGTCCCTTGTAAACTCAATCACTGACAAATGGAATAGATTCCCATTACCAGCTTAGACTAATCAGAATTTATCCCTGAGGGTAGGCTCCAAAACAAAACTGGGACCCTAAAAACAAGAAAGAACGAAAGAATGACTACAATACCCTACAAGAATGCTACATACAACACTCTATGTTTTTTTTAAAAAAACACTCACCCTCTTCCATTATTCTCTATTATAACACAAATTGGCTTATTTATCTATTTCCTATACTAAAAGGTATGTATCAGTAGAGCAAGAGCTAAAAGTATACATAGCACCTAAAACAGAGCAAGCTCTTTATTAGTATTTGTTGAATAAGCCCATACATATTATCCAAATTTATATTTATTTAATACCTATATTCAAAATCCCAAGCAAAATAAAAATTAAATCAGGCCTTATAAGAATTAGAACTAAGATTCAAAGTCATTTTCATATGTTTACTCATTTATATTTACGTGCATAAAATGTCAAAAGCAGATGTTCAGAAATAGGTCCAAATGTAATTTCGAAGAAATAACTTGCATTCAAATCAACTCTTGATAAGCTGCAGGGTCCTTAAACACAACATTTAATAGTTATAAGGAGAGATAAATGGATTGCAAAAAAAATTCCTAGTCATGGCCAGGCGCGGTGGCTCACGCCTGTAATCCCAGCACTTTGGGAGGTCGAGGCGGGCAGATCACCTGAGGTCAGGGGTTTGAGACCAGCCTGACCAACATGGTGAAACCCCATCTCTACTAAAAATACAAAATTAGCCAGGCATGGTGGCGCATGCCTGTAACCCCAGCTACTCAGGAGGCTGAGGCTGGATAATCGCTTGAACCCAGGAAGCGGAGGTTGCAGTGAGCCAATATCGCGCCATTGCACTCCAGCCTGGGCAACAAGAGCAAAACTCCGTCTCAAAAAAAAATAAAAAATTCCTAGTCATATACAACACAAATAATGAATAAACATTAACAATCTTTCCAGGGAACAGTTTCTAAAGAACAATAGATTCAAAGGTGCAAATTCAAACACATTCAAAACTGTTTCTACAGAATAGTAGGGATTCAAAAGTGCAGTAAACATGCACTCTTCATACAAGAGACATGAAAGCCCTTTAAAGGCTAATCTTTACTACTGCATGTATGAAGAATATCATAATGGTATCACTGGCTGGTATTCAATTCACTAACACATAGGCCAGATTAGTGGCATAGAGTATATATCTCACAAAATAAGGGAAACAAATAAATTATGGTACAACCATTGTGGGATACTATGGCTCAGTTTGATATGCTAAAGACAAATACACATAATATGTTAGGTGAACAGTTAGGACACAGAGGGATCTGATAATGTTGGATGATGGTATAAGATCTTGGAAAGTACAGGCTCTAAGGTTAGACAGAACAAGGTCTAAATCCTGGCACCGCTAATATAGAAATGGGACAGTAAAGAATCAAGCAGGACATATCCGAACCTGCATTACTTTGTCTTTAAAATGACCGTCATAATTCCTATTACGCTGGTCTCTCATTAAGTATAATAATAACGATTACATTTATATAGTGTTTCCTGAATGCAAGGCCCTTTACTAATTGCTTCACAGATATCATAATATTTAATCCTCTCAATACCCTTACGACGTAGGTAGGTATTATTATCCCCATTTTACAGTGAAGAAAATTAAGGTACGCTGAATTTAAATAACTTCCCCAAGGTCATAAAGCCAGTAAGTAGCAGAACCAGAATCAATGGCAGCTTTTTTCTATTATTAAGAACATGCTGGCTTTAAGAATTGCAAGAGAAAACTAGAAAATCTCCTCTATGTATACTTTTAACACAAGGACAGGCAACCCCACAATTATTTTTATATTCGTGAGTGAAAACCACAAATATTTTTTATGATTTGTGAATGAAAACCAAAATATCTTATAATGGTTAATTTTTTATGTCAACGTGACTGGGTTAAGGGATACCCAGATCACTGGTAAAACATCATTTCTGGGTGTGTCAGTGAGGGTGTTCCCAGAAGAGATTAGCATTTGAATTAGTAGACTGAATAAAGAACATGTGCCCTCACCAATGTGAGCAGGCATCATTCAGTCCTTTGAGGACCACCTGAATTAAACAAAAAGGTTGAGGATGGGTGAATTCTCACTCTCTTCTTGAGCTGGTACTTTCACCTCCTGCTCTCAAATACCAGAGCTACTAATTGTTGGGCCTTCAGACTCCAAGACTTATCCAGCAGCAGCAATCCCCTCCGAAGGCCTTCCACCTTGAACTGAGACTTAGACCTTGGGTTCCCCTGGTTTTCTGGCCTTTGAGCTTGGACTAATTCACACCACTGGCTTTCCTGTTCTCCAGCCTGCAGATGGCATATGGTGGGACATCTTGAATGACTATAATCCCATGATAAATCTCCTCTTATGTATCTATTTATTTATACCCTATTGGTACTGTTTCTCTAGACAACCCTGACAATTACGCATCTTTATATTAACAAGTAAAAGAATATCAACATTTGTTGTAAAGGCTCAACCTCTCCCTCAGGAAATAGCTAATGTTTTCTAACATTTTTTTCAAATTTACCAATCCAACATTTTGAGATAAGACACTTGAAGTCTCATTAATAAAATATGATTTACCAGAAAAAAATAAGGTTATAAACACTTCATTTAACAATGGCATAACAAAGAATCATATGAAAAACCATTAATCTATATTCCAAAGACCAGAGTGATCTGTGCCGCCTAGCTTTCTTAACCATCCCCAATATCCATCAAAATGTGACCTGATAACTAGTTGTACAAATGTCATTGAATTATTACATATTTCCTTTTTTCCAAAGTTTCACATTTTCCTTTAATACAATATTCCAGTTTCACTAGCATGATTAAAGTAGATCTACAATCTTCTCACTTCGTTAGTTATTTATGCTACTCTCCAGCTCTCCATACACAACACATGCTCCTGTGTACATAAACCATTCCATCTCAACAGTGTTTCATTATTTACACTTCTTCCTCTTGGTATAGGGATACAATTCTGAACATTACAGAGTATCTCAACATAGCAATAGCTTAAGCAATATTGAGATTTGGTTTTTTCTTTTGTAAAAGAAGTCTGGAGATAGGTGAAGTAGAGATGATGGTTGCACAAAGTCCTCAGGGACCCAAGCTTCTAGCTTTCTCTTCCACCACTCTAGATGCCTGGCTTCCATCTTCAAGACTGCCTCATGGTACAAAATGATTGTTAATGCTCCAGTTATTACACTTTCAATAAAGTGGAAGAAAACTGAATGGTAAAAAGGTATGCCTTCCCAGCTGAGCCACTGTCTTTTAGAAGTACACACATAATACTTCTGCTTTCATCTCTTTTTTGCCAGAATTTAATCACATGGCTGGGAAATAGTCTTTTCTTCTAGTCATCCATGTACCCAGTTAAAACAAACAAACAAAAATCAGGGTTCTATTACTATAGAGGAAAGGGGAAATGAACTTTAGGGGCATCATGACTCCCTATCTATTTCTGACAGCTTCAGAATCACTACTGATGTTGAGAAAAGTTTTATATCATATCTTTAATATAATACAGCTGGTGTCAAAGCTATCCCCAATAAGTGCTTTTACTTCCCTGGCCATCTGTCGAGTGTGGCCAATTCTAAACAATACTTTTAACACAACAGGTATACTAAGGTTACAATTTTGAAGTATCATTGGATAGGATTCTTGGATCTACCATATCTTGCACATGATCTGGGAGAGAAAAGTTAATATGTTTTATACAAGTTACCTAAAAGAATGTTGGGACTCATTCTGTGTGTCTCCACCAATTAGCCAATCAATGGAGTTACACAGTGTGGTCTTTTTCTGCCACAAATATTGGATCCATACTTATTCCACAGACATATATGCTTCATTATAATTATCACAACCCCATTTTATACATAATTGGCTGAAAATGTACTAGGAACCTGTACAAAGTGTTTTACTTATTTTATTCATTCAGGCCTCACAACAACCCTATTATGTTATTTTTACCCAGGTTTAAATCTGGCACATAGTAAACACTCAATAAACATTCTCTATTATCTCTATTAGTACATAAATAAGTACCCATATTATCCTTAATTTACAGATAAGAAAGAAGAAGCAAAAAATTTAGTAACTTGCCCAGAGTCGTACATACTTTTAAGTAGTAGAGCCAGGATTCAAATCCCTACAAGCTAGCTCTAGAGTCCACTCAACTACTGAACTATGCTAATATCAGGTAAAACACAAAAGGTTAATTAATTTGCCTAAGATCACAAAACCAGGAAGAGCAAAGATTTATTTAATGATGAAGCCCTTGCTCTCAACTTCAAATGAATCAAAGAAACACGGTATGGCTGACCAAGGGATTATTACTCTTCACGGGCAGAGTTACAAGGGAACACACTACCAAAGTAACAAACATAATATATGAATTTCAATGGTAAGCAATTTAGGACGATGAAATACAGTGTACATCCATATTGCCTAGGTAACACTACAGGTAGACCCATCTCTTTTAGCCATAATAGAACAAAAACAAAAGCAGTTTTGGCAAGTGTATGTAGTGACTACCATGTATCGATGTGAGTTTTCTCACAAATGAGTAACAACTAATATCTAAAAGATCTTGAATAATTAAATGTCTTCATTTTATATCGGCCAGCAGAAAATTAAAGGGGAACAATTTTTTGCTACACCAAACTCAATGGATTTATCTAGAAGCAGCGTTTTTTTTGTGTTTGTTTTGTTTTGTTTTGTTTTTTGAGACAGAGTCTTGCTCTGTCACCCAAGCTGGAGTGCAATGGCGCGATCTTGGCTCACTGCCAACCTCCACCTCCAGGGTTCAAGCAATTCTCCTGCCTCAGCCTCCTGAGTAGCTGGGATTACAGGCGCATGCCACCACACCCACTTAACTTTTGTATTTTTAGTAGAGACAGGGTTTCATCATGTTGGCCAGGCTGGTCTCGAACTCCTGACCTCAGGCAATCCACCTACCTCGGCCACCCAAACTACTGGGATTACAGGCGTGAGCCACCATTCCCGGCCTAGAAGCAGCAATTTTTAAAGATATCAGTAGCGACTTCCAGGGATATGGTGGGGTCTTTGTCTCACTCCAGCCAGAGCTTGGGGTCCTGTATTCACTGCTTCATGTCCTCAGCTCCAGGAGCCATAGATGGTCGACCAGATGCAGCCAGGAGGAACCTCTCTAACTGAGGGACCAGGACATCAGGGAGACTGATACACTTCTAGCAGATCTTCAGAGGGAAGGCACTGAAAGAACAGGGGCTGATGTGAAGAGAGAGGAAGCTGGAAACCCTTCAGGAGCTACCACACACTAAGGCTCATTATTGGTCCCCAACAACTCCAGCGGAGAGGGTGAGTTGAACAGGCAAGGAGCGACCCACTCTGGCCACAGGCCTCTGGAATCCCAGCAGGAGGAGACCCCTCAAACACCATGGACACTTGAGTTGGCAGGGAAAGCTGCTTCGAGAAGTGGTAAGGATAGAGCCCAGAGGGTTTGGTGTGGGAGCATCTGTAGTGGAGCACAGCCAGGGACACCTAACCCACTAGGCTCGACTTGCTCCCATAGGAGACTTTGGCCCTAGGGGACTAAAGAGTCAGACCTGAACTCACTGCTCCGAATGCCTGCAGGGAGGCCAGCACCCACTAACACCCTGCTACAGCCAATGAACATGCACCCCGCCACATTGCCACTGCCGCTGGCACATGCGAACAAGGATAGATCCCGTTGCCATCACCCTATGAAGTGCTTTGGCTGGCACCACCTATCAAAGTGTTGTGACTAGCAGTCCGAGGGCACCTCGGCCACTCCAGCACAACAGTTCACAGAACCCATGTTATACCACAATCAAAGCCCCAAGGTCGTCAAACAGAATAAAAGAAAAAACACCCATTCTTATGACAGCAACTTCAAAGACTGAAGAAACATTAGCCCACAAAGATGAGAAAGAACCAGCACAAGAACTCCAACAACTCGGCCAGGTGCAGTGGCTCATGCCTGTAATTCCAGCAGTTTGGGAGGCCAAGGTGGGTGGATCACAAGGTCAGGAGATCGAGACCATCCTGGCTAACATGGTGAAACCCAGTCTCTACTAAAAATACAAAAAATTAGCCGGGCGTGGTGGCAGGTGCCTGTAGTCCCAGCTACTCAGGAGGCTGAGACAGGAGAAAGGCGTGAACCTGGGAGGCGGAGCTTACAGTGAGCTGAGATCACGCCACTGCACTCCATCCTGGGCAACAGAGCAAGATTCCGTCAAAAAAAATATGTAAGTAATAATAATAATAATCATAGTAATAATAGTAATAATAATAAAAACTCCAACAACTCAAAAAACCAGAGTGTCTTCTTTCCTCCCAATGACTACACTAGTTCTCCAGCAAGGGTTCTTAACTGGGCTGACATGGCTGAAACAACAAATAAAATTCAGAATATGGATAAGAAAAAAGAGCATCAAGATTCAGGAGAACACTAAAAGCCAATCTAAGCAAGCTAAGAAGCACAATAAAATGATACAAGAGCTGAAAGACAAAATAGCCAGTACAGAAAAAACATAATTGATCTGATAGAGCTGAAAAAACCTCTATAAGAATCTCAAGTATTAACAGCAAAACAGACCAAGCTGAGGAAAAAAAATCATAGAACTTGAAGACTGGCTTTCTGAAATAAGACAGTCAGCAAAAAAAAAAAAAAAAGAAGAAGAAGATGAAGAACAAAAGGGAATAGCAAAACCTCCAGGAAATATGGGATTATGTAAAGAGACCAAATCTACAACTCATCGGCATCCTTGAAAGAAATGGGGAGACTGGAAGCAACCTGGAAAACACTTTTCAGGATACCATCATGAGAACTTTCTGAACCTATAGAGAGAGGCCAACATTCACAGGAAATGCAGAGAACCCCTGCAAAATACTTTACAAGAAGATTATGCCCAAGATACATAATCATCAGATTCTATGAGGCTGAAATGAAAGAAAACATGTTAAAGGCAGCTAGAGAGATAGAACAGGCCACCTACAAAAGGAAGCCCAACAGACTAACAACAGACCTCTCAGAAGAAACCTCATAAGTCAGAAGAGATTGGGGGTCTATATTCAATATCTTGAAGAAATGATATTCCAACCAAGAACTTCATAACTGGCCAAACTAAACTTCATAAGTGAAGGAGAAATAAGATCCTTTTCAGACAAGCAAATGCTGAGGGAATTCATTACCACCAGACTTGCCTTACAAGAGCCCCTTAAAGAAGCACTAAATATGGAAAGGAAAGACCATTAGCAACCACTACAAAAACACACTGAAGTACACAGACCAAGTGACACTATAAAGCAACCACACAAACAAGTAGGTATAATAAAAAGCTAACAACACAATAACAAGATCAAATCCACACATATCCATACTAGCCTTGAATGTAAATGGTCTAAATGCCCCCAATTAAAAGGCACAGAATGGCAAGCTAAATAAAGAAGCACAACTCAATGGTATGCTGTCTTCAAGAGACACATCTCACGTGCAATGACACCCGTAGGCTAAAAAATAAAGAGATGGAGAAAAATCTACCAAGCAAATGGAAAGCAGAAAAAAACAGATTTTAAGCCAACAAAGATCAAAACAGACAAAAAAGGGCATGACATAATGGTAAAAGGTTTAATTCAACAAGAAGACCTAACTATCCTAAATATATATGCACCCAACACAGGAGTATCCAGATTCATAAATCAAGTTCCTAGGAACCTTCAAAGAGACTTAGACTCCCACACAATAACAGTGGGAGTCTTCAACACCTCACCAACAGTATTAGACAGATCATTGAGATAAAAAATTAACAAAGATATTTAGGAACTGAACTCAACACTGGGCCAAATAGATCCAAATGGACATCTATAGAACTCTACCCCAAAACAAAAGAATATACATTCTTCTCATCTGCACATGGCACATACTCTAAAACTGACCACACAGTCAGACAAAAAACAATTCTCAGCAAATGCAAAAGAGCGGAAATCATACCAACTACTCTCTCGGAACACAGCATAATAAAAATAGAAGTTGGGACTAAGAAAATCACTCACAACCATATAATTACATGGAAATAAAACAACCTGCTGCTGAATGACTTCTGAGTAAGGCAGAAACCAAAGAAGTTCTTTAACATTAGTGAGAACAAAGATACAACATACCCAGCATCTCTGGGACACAGCTAAGGCAGTGTTATGGGAGAAATGTATAGCACTAAACACTCTCATCAAAAAGTTAGAAAGAGCTGGGCACAGTGCCTCACACCTGTAATCCCAGCACTTTGGGAGGCCAAGGCAGGCAGATCACTTGAGGCCAGGAGTTCGAGATCAGACTGGCCAACATTGTGAAACCCCGTCTCTACTAAAAATATAAAAAATTGGCTGGGCTTGGTGGTGTACGTCAGTAATCCTAGCTACTCATGACGCTGAGGCATGAGAATCGCTTGAACCTGGGAGGCAGAGGCTGCAATGGGCCAAGATCGTGCCATAGCATTCCAGCCTGGGCAACAGAGCGAGACTGTCTCAAAAAAAATAAAATAAAATAAAAAATAAAAAATAAAATTAAAAAATAGCATTTATATACATATGTATATATAACATATATACATATATATTAGATCTCAATTTAACAACCTAATATCACAACTAAAAGAACTAGAGATGCAAGAGCAAATCAATCCCAAAGCTAGCAGAATAACCAAAATCAGAGCTGAACTGAAGGAGACTGAAACACACACACAAAAAATCATCCAAAAGATCAATGAAGTCAGGAGTTTGTTTTTTGAAAAAATTAACAAGATTCATAGACCACTAGCTAGACTAATAAAGAAAAAAAGAGAAGATCCAAATAAACACAATCAAAAACAACAAAGGGGGATATTATTACAGATTGGACAGAAATACAAATAACCAGACAATTATGAACACCTTTAGGCACAAAAACTAGAAAGTCTAGAAAAAAATGGATAAATTCCTGAACACATACACCCTCCCATGACTGAACCAGGAAGAAACTGAATCCCTGAACAGACCAATAATGAGCTCCAAAATTTAATCAGTAATAAATAGCCTACCAACCAAAAAAAAAAAAAAAAGAAAAACAGCCCTGAACCAGACAGATTAACAGCCTAATTCTACCAGATGTACAAAGAAGAGCTAGTACCATACCTACTAAAACTATTACAAAAAAATTGAGGGTAAGGGAATCCTCCCTAAATGATTCTATAAGGCCAGCATCATGATGATACTAAAACTTGGAAGACATACAACAAAGAAAGAGAACTCCAGCCTGGGCGACATGGTGAAACTCCATCTCTAAAAATAAAATAAAATAAAAAATAAAATAAAATAAAAATTAGCCAGGCATGGTAGCACATGCCTATAGTCTCAGCTATTCAGGAGGTTGAAGTGGGAAGATCACTTGAGTCTGGGAGGTTAAGGCTGCAGTGAGTCATGTTTGCACACTGTACTCCAGGCTGGGTGACAAAGTGAGACCCTGGCTCAAAAAACAAAGACAAAAAAAAAGTACCTTTGTTTCTCAAGGAAAAAAAAGAGAAGAAAACTTCAAGTCAATATCCTTGATGAACACTGATGCAAAAATCTTCAACAAAATACTAGCGAAACAAATCCGGAAGCATATTGAAAAGCTAATTCACCATGATCAAGTAGGGCTTATCCCTGGGATGCAAGGTTGGTTCAACTTATGCAAATCAATAAGTATGATTCATCACACAACTATAACTACAGACAAAAACCACATGATCATCTCAATACATACAGAAAAGACTTTCGGCAAAAGTCACCATCCCTTCATGTTAAAAACTCTCAATGAACTAGGTATTGAAGGAACATACATCAAAATAATAAAAGCCATTTATGACAAACCCACAGCCAACATCACACTGAATGGGCAAAAGCTGAACACTGGCACAAGACAAAGATGCCCTCTCTCACCAATTACTATTCAACATAGTATTGGAAGTCCTTTCAAGAGCAATCAGGCAAGAGAAAAAAAAATAAAGGGCATAAGTCAAACTATCACTGTTTGGAGATGACATGATTCTATACCTACAAAACCCCAATGTCTCAGCCCAAAAGCACCATAAGCTAATGAACAACTTAAGCAAAGTTTCACAATACAAATTAAATGTACAAAAATCACTACCATTCCTATACAGCAACAACAGCCAAGCCAAGAGCCAAATTAGGAAAACAGTCCCATTCGCAACTGCCACAAAAAGAATAAAATACCTAGGAATACTGCTAACCACAGAGGTGAAAGATCTTTACAATGAGAATTACAAAACACTGCTCAAAGAAATCAAGAGATGACACAAATGGGAAAACACTCCATGATCGTGGACAGGAAAAATCAATGTCATTAAAATTAAAATTGCCATACTGCCCAGAGCAATTTACAAATTCAATGCTATTCCTATCAAACTACGAACGACATTTTACAGAATTAGAGAAACTATTTTAAAATTCATATGAAACCAAAAAACAGCCCAAATAGCCAAGGTAATCCTAAGCAAAAAGAACAATGCAGGAGGCATCATGCTACCCAACTTCCAACTATATCATGCGACTATAGTAACCAAAACAGCATGGTACTGGTAAACAAACAAAACAAAACAAAAAACACAGACACACAGACCAATGGAACAGAACAAAGAGCCCAGAAATAAGACTGCATATCTACAACCATCTGATCTTCAACAAAGCCTACAAAAACAAGCAATGGAGAAAGGATTTCCTATTCAATAAAATGATGCTGGGATAACCGGCTAGCCGTATGCAGAAGATTGAAACTGGACACATTCTTAGACTACATACAAAAATCAACTCAAGACGGATTAAAGACTTAAAACCCAAAACTATGAAAAAGCCTGGAATACAACGTAGGCAATACCATTCTGAACATAGGACCTGGGAAAGATTTCATGACAAAGACACAAAAAGCAACTGCAACAAAAGCAAAAACTGACAAATGGGATCTCATTAAACTAAAGAGCTTCTCTACAGCAAAAGAAACTATCGACAGAGAAAACAAACAACCTACAGAATGACAGAAAATTTTGCAACTGTAAAGGTCTATGAATCTGACAAAGGTCTAATTTCCAACATCTATAAGGAACTTAAGCAAATTCACAAGAAAAAAATAAACACATTAAAAAGTGGGTAAAGGATGTGATCACTTTTCCAAAGAAGACATATATACAGCCAACAAGTATATGAAAAAAAGCCCAACATTGATCAACACTCAACATCACTAATCATTAAAGAAATGCAAATCAAAACCACAATGATATACCATCTCACATTAGTCAGAATGGCTATTATTAAAAAGTAAAAAAAATCAGATGCTGGCAAGGTTGCAGAGGAAAGAGAATGCTTACACACTGTTGGTGGGAGTGTAAAATTAGTTCAACCACTGTGGAAAGCAGTGTGGCCATTTCTCAAAGAGCTAAAAATTGAACTACCATTCGATCCAGGAATCCCATTACTGGGTATATAACCAAAAGAACATAAATCATTCTATCATAAAGACACATGCATGCCTACGTTCACAGAAGCACTATTTGCAATAGCAAAGACATGAAATCAACCTAAATGCCTATCAAGGGTAGACTGGATAAAGAAAATGTGGTACATATACACAACAGAACACTATGCAGTCATAAAAAAAAATGAGATCATGTACTTTGCAGTAACATGGATAGAAGTAGAGGCCATTATCCTTAGCAAACTAATGCAGGAACAGAAAACCAAATACCACATGTTCTCACTTATAAGTGGGAGCTAAATGATGAGAACACATAAACACAACGAAAGGAACAATAGACAATGGAGCCTACCAGAGGGTGGAGAGTGGAAGCAGGGAGAGGAACAGAAAACATAACTATTGGGTACTAGGCTTAGTACCTGGGTGATGAAATAATCTGTATGTCAAACCCCCCATAACACAAGTTTACGTATATAACAAACCTGTACAGATACCTCTGAACCTAAACTAATAGTTCAAAAATAGTAAAAGGTAATGAAATCAAATTTTGTGGCCATTTGTCAGAATTAATGCATTTGTAGTTTTCTCACCTAAAATTACAACCCTGACCCTCATCTCTTCAGAGGTATCCAAATTATGGCTCTACATTTCCTCATTTTTTTTTAAGACTCACAATGTACAATTCTGATGCCCTGGGCACACAACACCTAAATCACAATGCTAATTAACTGGCTCATCTTCAAACACTCCCCTAAGATTTTCAAGTTCCTCTTCTAAGAATAGCATAGACATATAATAATCAGATATGGTACACTTCACACCTAGTACAGGAACTCAAATATTGTAAGCACTAAATAATAAAGAATGAAGCTAATGTCACCAAATGACTCAATCATAAGCATAAGAGCCATTAATTTAAATCTTTCGTGAGTACCTCATATCCTTTCGAAAAAAATTTTTAAACGTCCTTTTTTTAATGTCATATTTAATGAGACATTCCCAATTACTTCCCACCAATTTACATTAGCATTCTGCTTACAATTTCCAATGCTTTTAAGCTACTTGAAGGAATTTGAAAGAGTAAGAAGTAGTAAACTTAAACACCATATTTTACTATATCTCAACAGATAGAATATAAGACCAATTTTTTTATTGGTAAAAAGTTCCCATACTTTTTACCAATAAAAAAATTGGTCTTATATTCTATCTGTTGAGATACAGTAAAATATGGTAAAGTCATGAGGTTTTTGGTGTTGTTACATCAAATTCTGGGGAGAGATGGAGAGAGGAAGAGAGGGGGAGGGAGGGAGAGAGAGAGAGAGAGAAAGAGCGAGAGAGAGAACGTAAGAGCATACACGCAAGAGCACCATAAAACAGGCAGTGATCTTCAGTAGGGCATTAAAGTACTAAAAAGATTCAACTCTTATAAATCATTAGAGTTATATCAACTTTAATTTAACGCATCAGTTGACTGGTAACTAATATTAGATGAAAAGCAGCCAAAGCAGGCTTTACTTAACAGCTATGTATGAAAGAATAACACAAATGTTGTTACTAAAATTAATTTAAATAACATTTAAAAATGAAATTTTACATATAATAGCATTTGAACTCACTTTGAAATGGGTGAGACATATCACTTGCTAAGGATTTTCTCAATTTTAAAAGTATTAGGAGACCTCTACCTTCACCCATGCAGCAGTAATAGGATCGAGAATTACCCTCCAAATGTAAACAACTAGAAAACTGGACAAACAATGTATATGACATTGCACAACTGATGATCTGACATTGAAAATCAGCTCAAAACTGATTTCTGTAATAAGGGAAACAAACAAACAAAAAGGTGAGCCCTATAATTGCCTGAGATTTCTCTCTGAAAGCACTTTTGGGACTGTAGTATGTAGGAGGTGAAACCCTAATAGAATCTAGTGCCATTGCTGAGTTAAAAAACACAAGAGGTCATAATACAGAAAGGCCAACACAACAAGAATTTTGGGGGAAAGTTCCTGAAGTGAGAGAGTTACAGAAAGACCTATTTTCTTTAAAAAAAGGATATCCTTAAATTACCTGAATATCAATACTAATCTACATGTGCATAGGGTAAAAACCAATGATACAGAGCAAAACCAATTTCCAGGAAAGAAAAATTATGATGTAGTTAGTGCTGAGTAATTTCCAGAGCTCACAAAGGGCCAGGAATCATTTAAGTTCTCACAGGCAAGACAGAGTCCTCAATGAATCCTTGGGACATCCAACAGAGAGTCACTCAATAGAGGTCCATCTTAGAAATGAGGGTAAGAATGCACAAGAGTAAATGTTACTCTAGACTGCCCTAGAAAACCTTAAAAATGTTAGCACAAAAAACAAAAGATGAAAAAAGAAGTTAAAGATTTGCTGCCACTGAGCATGCCTCTAAAGACCTTGGTTGCAAAACATCCCCCGCTAAGTGACCAAGCCTCCTGGGACTACATATTCATGCACACCCCTCAAAATAGCAGCCACCACAGCCAACACAACCACCAGAGAGGAGTCCAGGACACCGTAAGGCTGCCATTGCTGCCATGCCCAAGAGTAAGGTAAGGGAGGTAAAAACAGATGCAGGAGGCCGGGCGTGGTGGCTCACGCCTGTAATCCCAGCACTTTGGAAGGCCAAGATGGATGGATCACCTGATGTCGGCAGTTCGAAACAAGCCTGACTAACATGGTGAAACCCCGTCTCTACTAAAAATAAAAACTATTAGCAGGGTGTGGTGGCATGCACCTGTAATCCCAGCTCTTCCAGAGGGTGAGGCAGGAGAATCGCTTGAACCCATGAGGTAGAGGTTGCGGTGAACCAAAATTGTGCCACTGCACTCCAGCCTGGGCAACAAGAGTGAAACTCTGTGTCAAAAAAAAAGAAAAAGAAAAAGAAAAATAGAGGCAGGAGTAAAAATAAGAACCCCAAAAAGGAGAGTTGGTATATAAAGGGGATAGACAAGAGTAGGTAATCAAAATGAAGGAAAACAGATGATTAGAATCAATGTGCTTTGATGGTGTAAAGAGGTTATGTCATATGAGAGGAAAATTGAGAAAAAAGAAGTGAATAAATACCTCAGACATTATACTGGTTGGTCTGTGAGACTATTAGGATAACAAATCTGATGTTATTTTAAAATACCATGCACATGAAGCTAGAAGTCTAAAGGCATATGGCAAGTTTCTAGAATCTGCTAAAATCAATAAAACCAATATACTTGGTCCTAGAGATGATAAAATCCAGTATCTTATGATACTCAAGATGATGATAAAGATCTTGATGATATCTAAATTAAATTCAAAGATTTACATCCAAGTTTCCAATGAAGCCATATAACTTCAGTTTCCCTTAAGTTATATGGCTTCATTGTCATACAGAAAGTTAACCAGTCTTCTGTGTATCTTATCAATTTTATTTTGATCCTCAATGGTTCCAAGATGGCCAAATAGGAGCAGCTCCAGTCTATAGCTCCCAGCCTGAGCGACGCAGAAGACAGGTGATTTCTGCATTTCCAACTGAGGTACCAGGTTCATCTCACTGGGGATTGTCAGACAGTGGATGCAGGACAGTGGGTGCAGCCCACCAAGCGTGAGCTGAAGTAGGGTGAGGCATCGCTTCACCTGGGAAGCTCAAGGGGTCAGGAAATCCCCTTTCCTAGCCAAGGGAAGCTGTGACAGATGACACTGGAAAATCGGGTCACTCCCACCCTGATACTGCACTTTTCCAATGGTCTTAAGCAAATGGCACACCGGGAGATTATATCCCGCGCCTGGCTCGGAGGGTCCCATGTCCACGGAGCCTTGCTCATTGCTAGCACAGCAGTCTGAGATCGAACTGCAAGGTGGCAGCGAAGCTGGGGGAGGGGTACCTGCCATTGCTGAGGCTTGCGTAGGTAAATAAAGAGGCCTGGAAGCTCAAACTGGGTGGAGTCCACCGCAGCTCAAGGAGGCCTGCCTGCCTCTGCAGACTCCACCTCTGTGGACAGGGCATAGCCGAACAAAAGGCAGCAGAAACTTCTGCAGATTTAAATGTCCCCATCTGACAGCTTTGAAGAGAGTAGTGGTTCTCCCAGCACAGAGCTGGAGATCTGAGAACGGACACACTGCCTCCTCAAGTAGGTCACTGACCCCCGAGTAGCCTAACTGGGAGGCACCCCCCAGTAGGGGCAGACTGACACCTCACATGGCCGTGTACCCCTCTGAGATGAAGCTTCCAGAGGAACAATCAGGCAGCAACATCTGCTGTTCAGCAATATGCATTGTTCTGCAGCCTCTGCTGCTAATACCCAGGCAAACAAGGTCTGCAGTGGACCTCCAGCAAACTCCAACAGACCTGCAGCTGAGGGTCCTGACTGTTAGTTAGAAAACTAACAAACAGAAATGACTTCCACTCCAGAACCCCATCTGTATGTCACCATCATCAAAGACCAAAGGTAGATAAAACCACAAAGATGGGGAAAAAACAGAGCAGAAAAGTTGAAAATTCTAAAAATCAGAGCGCCTCTCCCCCTCCAAAGGCCAGCAACAGAACAAAGCTGGACGGAGAATGACTTTGATGAGTTGAGATAAGAGGCTTCAGACGATCAAACTTCTCCAAGCTAAAGGAGGAAGTTCAAACCCATCACAAAGAAGCTAAAAACCTTGAAAAAAGATTAGACGAAGGATTAACTAGAATAACCAGTGTAGAGAAGTCCTTAAATGACCTGATGGAGCTGAAAACCATGGCATGAGAACTACATGACACATGCACAAGCTTCAGTAGCTGATTCAATCAACTGGAAGAAAGGGTATCAGTGATTGAAGATCAAATGAATGAAATGAAGTGAGAAGAGAAGTTTAGACAAAAAAAGAGTAAAAAGAAACAAACAAAGCCTCCAAGAAACATGGGACTATGTGAAAAGACCAAATCTACGTCTGATTGGCATACCTGAAAGTGACAGGGAGAATGGAACCAAGTTGGAAAACACTCTGCAGGATATTATCCAGGAGAACTTCCCCAACCTAGCAAGGCAGGCCAACATTCAAATTCAGGAAATACAGAGAACGCCACAAAGATACTCCTTGAGAAGAGCAACTCCAAGACACATAATTGTCAGATTCACCAAAGTTGAAATGAAGGAAAAAATGTTAAGGGCAGCCAGAGAGAAAGGTCGGGTTACCCACAAAGTGAAGCCCATCAGACTAACAGTGGATCTCTCAGCAGAAACTCTACAAGCCAGAAGAGAGTGGGGGCCAATATTCAAAATTCTTAAAGAAAAGAATTTTCAACCCAGAATTTCATATCCAGCCAAACTAAGCTTCATAAGTGAAGGAGAAATAAAATCCTTTACAGACAAGCAAATGCTGAGAGATTCTGTCACCACCAGGCCTGCCCTACAAGAGCTCCTGAAGGAAGCACTAAACATGGAAAGGAATAACCAGTACCAGCCACTGCAAAAACATGCCAAATTGTAAAGACCATCGATACCAGGAAGAAACTGCATCAACTAACAAGCAAAATAACCAGCTAACATCATAATGACAGGATCAAATTCACACATAACAATATTAACCTTAAATGTAAATGGGCTAAATGCTCCAATTAAAAGACACAGACTGGTAAATTGGATAAAGAGTCAAGACCCATCAGTGTGCTGTATTCAGGAGACCTGTCTCACATGAAGAGACACACGTAGGCTCAAAATAAAGGGATGGAGGAAGATCTACCAAGCAAATGGAAAACAAAAAAAGGCAGGGGTTGCAATCCTACTCTCTGATAAAACAGACTTTAAACCAACAAAGATCAAAAGACACAAAGACGGCCATTACATAATGGTAAAGGTACCAATTCAACAAGAAGAGCTAACTATACTAAATATATTTGCACCTAATACAGGAGCACCCAGATTCATAAAGCAAGTCCTTAGAGACCTACAAAGAGACTTAGACTCTCACACAATAATAATGGGAGACTTTAACACCCCACTGTCAACATCAGACAGATCAATGAGACAGAAAGTTAACAAGGATATCCAGGAATTGAACTCAGCTCTGCACCAAGCAGACCTAATAGACATCTACAGAACTCCCCACCCCAAATCAACAGAATATACATTCTTCTCAACACCACATCGCACTTATTCCAAAATTGACCACATAATTGGAAGTAAAGCACACCTCAGGAAATGTAAAAGAACAGAAATTATAACAAACTGTCTCTCAGACCACAGTGCAATCAAACTAGAACTCAGGATTAAGAAGCTCACTCAAAACTGCTCAACTACATGGAAACTGAACAACCTGCTCCTGAATGACTACTGGGTACGTAACGAAATGAAGGCAGAAATAAAGATGTTCTTTGAAACCAGTAATAACAAAGACACAACATACCAGAATCTCTGGGACACATTTAAAGCAGTCTGTAGAGGGAAATTTATAGCACTAAATGCCCACAAGAGAAAGCAGGAAAGATCTAACATTGACACCCTAACATCAGAATTAAAAGAACTAGAGAAGCAAGAGCAAACACATTCAAAAGCTAGCAGAAGGCAAGAAATAACTAAGATCAGAGCAGAACTGAGAGATAGAGACACAAAAAACCCTTCAAAAAATCAATGAATCCAGGAGCTGGTTTTTTGAAAACATCAACAAAATTGATAGACCACTAGCAAGACTAATAAAGAAGTAAAGAGAGAAGAATCAAATGGACGCAATAAAAAATGATAAAGGGGATATCATCACCAATCCCACAGAAATACAAACTACCATCAGAGAATACTATAAACACCTCTATGCAAATAAACTAGAAAATCTAGAAGAAATGGATAAATTCCTAGACACATACACCCTCCCAAGACTAAACCAGGAAGAAGTTGAATCTCTGAATAGACCAATCACAGGCTCTGAAATTGAGGCAATGATTAATAGCCTACCAACCAAAAAAAGTCCAGGACCAGACGGATTCACAACCGAATTCTACCACAGGTACAAGGAGGAGCTAGTACCATTCCTTCTGAAACTATTCCCATCAATAGAAAAAGAGGAAATCCTCCCTAACTCATTTTATGAGGCCAGCATCATCCTGATACCAAAGCCTGGCAGAGACACAACAAAAAAAGAGAATATCCCTGATGAACATAGATGCAAAACTCCTCAATAAAATACTGGCAAACCGAATCCAGCAGCACATCAAAAAGCTTATCCACCATGATCAAGTGGGCTTCATCCCTGGGATGCAAGGCTCGTTCAACATACATAAATCAATAAACATAATCCAGCATATAAACAGAACCAAAGACAAAAACCACATGATTATCTCAATAGATGCAGAAAAGGCCTTTGACAAAATTCAACAACTCTGCATGCTAAAAACTCTCAATAAATTAGATATTGATGGGACTTATCTCAAAATACTAAGAGCTATTTATGACAAACCCACAACCAACATCATACTGAATGGGCAAAAACGGGAAGCATTCCCTTTGAAAACTGGCACAAGACAGGGATGCCCTCGCTCACCACTCCTATTTAACATAGTGTTGGAAGTTCTGGCCAGGGCAATCGGGCAGGTGAAAGAAATAAAGGGCATTCAATTGAGAAAAGAGGAAGTCAAATTGTCCCTGTTTGCAGATGACATGATTGTATATTTAGAAAACCCCATTGTCTCAGCCCAAAATCTCCTTAACCTGATAAGCAACTTCAGCAAAGTCTCAGGATACAAAATCAATGTGCAAAAATCACAAGCATTCTTACACACCAATAACAGACAAACAGAGAGCCAAATCATGGGTGAACTCCCATTCACAATTGCTACAAAGAGAATAAAATACCTAGGAATCCAACTTACAAGGGATGTGAAAGACCTCTTCAAGAAGAACTACAAACCACTGCTCAATGAAATAAAAGAGGACATAAACAAATGGAAGAACATTCCATGCTCACGGATAGGAAGAATCAATATCGTGAAAATGGCCATACTGCCCAAGGGAATTTATAGATTCAATGCCATCCCCATCAAACTACGAATGACTTTCTTCACAGAATTGGAAAAAACTACTTTAAAGTTCATATGGAACCAAAAAAGAGCCCGCATTGCCAAGTCAATCCTAAGCCAAAAGAACAAAGCTGGAGGCATCACACTACCTGACATCAAACTATACTACAAGGCTACAGTAACCAAAACAGCATGGTACTGGTACCAAAACAGAGATATAGATCAATGGAACAGGACAGAGCCCTCAGAAATAATACCACACATCTACAACCATCTGATCTTGACAAACCTGACAAAAACAAGCAATGGGGAAAGGATTCCCTATTTAATAAATGGTGCTGGGAAAACTGGCTAGCCATATGGAGAAAGCTGAAACTGGATCCCTTCCTTACACCTTATACAAAAATTAATTCAAGATGGATTAAAGACCTAAATGTTAGACCTAAAACCATAAAAACTCCAGAAGAAAACCTAGGCGATACCATTTAGGATATAGGCATGGGCAAATACTTCATTCTGAAACACCAAAAGCAATGGCAACAAAAGCCAAAATTGACAAATGGGATCTAATTAAGCTAAAGAGCTTCTGCACAGCAAAAGAAACTACCATCAGAGTGAACAGGCAACCTACAGAATGGGAGAAAATTTTTGCAATCTACCCATCTGACAAAGGGCTAATATCCAGAATCTACAAAGAACTTAAACAAATTTACAAGAAAAAAACAAACAACCTCATCAAAAAATGGGCGAAGGATATGAATAGACACTTCTCATAAGAAGACATTTATGCAGCCAACAGACACATGAAAAAATGCTCATCATCACTGGCCATCAGAGAAATGCAAATCAAAACCACAATGAGATACCATCTCACACCAGTTAGAATGGCGGTCATTAAAAAGTCAGGAAACAACAGGTGCTGGAGAGGATGTGGAGAAACAGGAACACTTTTACACTGTTGGTGGGACTGTAAACTAGTTCAACCATTGTGGAAGACAGCGTGGTGATTCCTCAAGGATCTAGAACTAGAAATACCATTTGACCCAGCCATCCCATTACTGGGTATATACCCAAAGGATTATAAATCATGCTGCTATAAAGACACATGCACACGTTACGTTTATTGCGACACTATTAACAATAGCAAAGACTTGGAACCAACCCAAACGTCCATCAATGATAGACTGGATTGAGAAAATGTGGCACATATACACCATGGAATACTATGCAGCCATAAAAAAGGATGAGTTCATGTCCTTTGTAGGGATGTGGATGAAGCTGGAAACCATCATTCTGAGCAAACTATCGCAAGGACAGTAAACCAAATACCACATGTTCTCACTCATTGGTGGAAACCGAACAATGCGAACACTTGGACACAGGAGGGGGAACATCACACACCGGGGCCTGTTGCGGGGTGGGGGGAGGGGGGAGGGATAGCATTAGGAGATACACCTAATATAAATGACGAGTTAATGGGTGCAGCACACCAACATGGCACATGTATACATATGTAACAAACCTGCACGTCGCGCACATGTACCCTGGAACTTAAAGTATAATTTTTAAAAAATTTTATTTTGACATTCCTTTCCTAAATGAATACATGAACTCCTGATGCTCAAATACTCTTGAAAGCAGTTCTTTTGTCTTGCTGATGTTTTCCTCATTCATTAAATAAGAGTTTGATACATACTAACAAATAACCTTAAGAATTAAATTTTTATAGAACCCAAGAACACCTAATTTCAAACTCCTATTCTCTTCATCATAAATCCCTTTAAAAAAAAAGGAAATAACACTCTGAGTTGGTAAATTAGAAGATTAATGAGAAAATGTTTATGGTGTAAAGAATACTGGAATGAGAATAACAATATCTGTCTAACAGACAAGAAAACCAGGGCACCAAAAGGAAAAGTCGGGAGAGGGAGAAAATCACAAAGCTAGTACTGTCAAACAGGAATTTCAACCAAGCAATCTGATTCTAGATGCAAGGAGTTCTTCCACAGCAAGGAGGTTTTCCATAGCAAGTATCTTCCCATGCATAGATGAGACAACTGAAACAAAAGGATCACCCCATCAATGGACTAAAGTTAGACTAAGAGACCAAAAATCTTTGCCAACTCAAGATTGCTACTAATTAATGGTGACTTTTGGAAGTCATTCTATTTAATGACATGTCTTCTCATGCATAACATCCAAAAGAGTTATCTAAATGATCTCTAAAGACCTCTGTAGCTTGAAATAATTTGGTAGTATGAATTTAAAAAAAAAAAAAAAGAAGAAGATTCCTCCAAAATTCTTTCTCATCATCCACAACAAATTGCCTGCCATGTGTTTGGCACTGTAGTGGGTGCCCAAGATACAATAAGCAAGACAAGTAAATCTCAATTTCAGCATATCTTAGAATGTACCAGGAAAGCAAAAATGAAACCAAAAAAATGTATTTTTTTAACATATAAGACCACCTTGTGCCATGCACAGTTAAATTTCTTATGTTTCTAAATATGCAGAGCCTGCACTCAACACAGGGCTTTTGATCTTGTCTGAAACACACTTATCCGAATATCCCCACAGCTATGTCCCTCACCAAATTCAGAGCATCACTCAACTATCACCTTCTTAGTGAAATCTTCCCTGACCATTCTATATAAAAATGGCATCTTCCCAATTCCAACATTCCTTATTACCATCCCTAATGTACTTACTTTTCTCTAGAACACTTATCAACATCTGATATACTTAAAGAAAAGTATAAATATTGTGAGTGTATAAAAGAAGCCATTAATTTCATTTAGACTAATATATATGTTTTTATCCATACTCATACATTTTTATGTAACAATTTAAAATATCAATTATAAATGCTAACATCATGTTTATAGTATTAATTCAAGCATTTTGTTTCAGTTTTTCTATAATTCCCTTCTTCTAAATTATTTAAACATATAAAGCATTTAAAATAGAATATCACTATATAAGATTCATACTTTTATACTATAAGAGTCAACATCTAACAACATGATTTATTCTCCATTTTATAAACTATCTCACTTTAAAATATGAGGGCGAAAATGAGATACATTATTCTACCTGGATTTCAAATTATCATATTCATTAAACTGGAATGGGCTTATTTTTTTCAAAAATAAAAAGTAAAAAAGAGAAAGAAATCTAAAATCATCCTCTAAGGTTTACAGTCTTATATGTGTGCTTAATATGCTCACAGTTTCTGAAGATTTTCATAGCTAAATATACAATTTCTGGAGATCTCATAGGTAAGTATCCCCAAAAACAAAAAACTGTTTGAAACTTGATGCATCAGAATTCAAAGGACTGTGTGGTCTGAAAAATAAAACTTGTTTTAAAAGAATAATGATAACTTTTAACTAAGCAATGTTAACCTTTTTAAATAATATCATCTAAAATGTTACTAAACAGAACCATAGACATAGTTTTCAAACTGAATTACGTATGATTTGAAACTCCAGTAACTACACTAAAATGATCTTGTGGAGGATAAAAAAAAAATAAGGTTGCTATAACATTTCTAAAAAAATGAGTTTGTTATGAGCAAACTATGTATAGAATGGAACATTTTGATTAGTTCATTAATTTTTCCTGATAAAAACAGCAAGTTATTGAAATAAATTAAGAAAATAGGTAGTAATAATTTAACATTCCGTACTATCCTGTGAAAACTAAGACTATTGACTAGACATAACCAGGACGCCCAAAGAACATGTCTTCTCTCCTCTAATTAAGAAAATGAGAAGTCATAATAAGCAAAAATGAGTGCCAAAATAAATCTTTAGATTAAAAGTGCAGTTCAACCTAATATTTATTAATAACTAAATCCAAATTAAATTTATAAGTATACAAAAAAACTTAAAAACTTCCGTTCTTTGCCATTTAATTATGTAGACATACCTCCCTCAAAGTACCTCCAAAACAAAATTAAAATTATTATTAAATATATTCCTGCTACTACACATTTGTAAATGCTATTATTCATTTTAAAACTACACTCTATGAGTGTTACAGGTAAATGTTGTTAAATGTTAAAGGTAGGCTGGGCATGGTGGCTCATGCCTGTAATTCCAGCACTTTAGGAGGCCAAGGCAGCCAGACTGCTTGAGCCCAGGAGTCTGAGACCAGCCTGGGCAACACGGCAAAACCCGGCCTCTACAAAAATTACAAAAATTAGCCAGGTGTAGTGGCACGCTCCTGTAGCCCCAGCTACTTGGAAGGCTGAAGTGGGAGGATCACTTGAGCCCAGAAAATGGAGGCTGGAGTGAGCCAAGATCATGCCACTGCACTCCAGCCTCAGTGAAAGAGGAAGACCCTGTCTCAAAAAAATATATTAAAAAATGAATAATAAATAATAAACATTAAAGGTAAATGTTGAGTATCAAAGTGAACTCTGGTTAACTATATTTCTTTAGAAAGAAAATGCAGAATTCTTTAATAACACTTTTACATTTACAGGACAACGGACCATCAACCAGTAACACTATTTATAGATAGAATATTAAGTTTAAAAAAATTTATCCAGAAACATTTTTAAGCAGCTTTATTATTTTTAAACAGTAGCACATGATCATGGTAAAACAATCACAGAAGTGCATAAAGAATACAGCAAAGATCAGCGAAAAACTTACCTCCTGTTAGAATCATTCATTGTTATCATTTCTCCACCATACCTTGTGACATTTTATAGAAATATAAATAACCTTACATTAAAGGAATCATTCCATACATCCTATTCAACAGCTTACTTTGTTTAATTCAACATTAGGTAAATTAGAACATCTTTCTGTGTCAGCCAATAAATATCTCATTTTTTAAGGGCTTTTCTGTACTACATTCTATGTATTACCATAACCGACTTAAGTAGTCTCCATATTAATAAACAGTTTGTTTCCATTTTTTTAATGAATGAACGTGTCCCTAATACGATGGGACACGTTCCACTTCCTCACTAAAATGTTCCATACCATAAATCATTTTCTACAAAACAGACCTTCATGTATTCAAATATTTTTAAGCGCCTATTACATGCCATTCACTGTTCTAGACAACCTAAATTCCCTAATTTATCTAATTTATCATTGCTGTATTTCCAGTACTTAGTGGTGTGTCTGATACATAGTAGACCTCATTATGTGTTGAATGAATAGATGGCCATCCTTGTTCATTCATCTTTCTTCACTTCTGTAATTATCTCCTAAAGTTTTCATTTTTTATGTGGAATCATAACCTCAGAAGATACATTTTATTATGTGCAAGGCACCAACTCTACTAAACGTTTTACAAAAATGAAACCACAAGCCTGGCACAGTAGTTCATGCCTATAATCCCAGAACTTTGGGAGGCCAAAGCAGGTGAATCACTTGAGAGGAGGAGTTTGAGACAGGCCCATGGCGAAACACCATCTCTACAAAAAAAATACAAAAATTAGCCTGGCATGGTGGCGCACACCTGTAATCCCAGCTATTTGGGTGGTGGAGGCACGAGATTCACTTGAACCCAGGAGGAGAGATTGCAGTGAGCCAAGATCAAGCCACTACACTCTAGCCTGGGCGACAGAGTGAGACTGTCTCATAAATAAATAAGAAAAATAAAATAAATAAAAATGAAGCCACAGTCACTGTTCTTACAGTGACTTACAGAGGCTTACAGAATAATCACATTCATAGGCTGTAGGCTATGAGAAAGAAGTTTTATTTTTAGGGCCAGGACACCCTACAAAGTAATGAGTCTTTACCACTCACAGTTCAAGCTCACTATGGGGAGCCAAGTAGATTAACATGGAGGAAAAAAATACTACTACAGTATTACCTTTTAGAAGCTCTGCTTAGCTGTGTTTTTTAAAGTTCATCTTGAGCTCCAAAACATCATTCAAAGAAAATATGAATCTAAAATATATGTTTTCCTTTGGTCTAACTCAGTGGAAATTAAGAGTAGGAACACTCTCATGCTAGTATTCCAGTGTTAAACTTCAAAAGGTCCAGCTTGCACACATAGAAAAACCCTAAAAGTCCAATTAAACTGCAAAGTTATGACTAAATTCATAAAAGACTTATTCTGCTTTTCCAGGAAAAGTACTCTGAAAGAGAAGAAAAAGAGACCACTGAAACATACCAAACTGTTTTTATTTCAAAGTTTTAGCCTTTAAAAATCACCACAAAGCAGCTCTGCTGTGAAACCTCTAAGCATGCTAACTCTGTTTTCTTTCACTGGCAACACACAGGTACCACAGGGATTAAATTAGAATCATAAAGCTGGAAAGAACCTTGAAACATATATGTAGTTCCTCCTTATGACTTTTACCTTGTTTACACTTAAGCCAGTTTACATACATAAGAAATGTATCCACAACAAAAAATTACCCAGTGCAAGGTGGGAGTAGGGGATAGGAGATGAGGTCAGAGTTAAGGTGGCAGTTTGGTAGAAGGAAAGTAACTCACCTAAAGATAAGGTCCATGGAGAAGACTTTAAAGATATGTCATGATCTAATTTCCATGTTGATATGATCACCCCAAAATTCATCCTTGAAGGTTAAATGCTATGCTTGAATGGAATATGCATATGTTGACTGTGGCCATGTATCTGCCTCCTAACTGCTCAGGATAACAAACAAAAATTTTGGCAAGAAACGATGCTGGTTTGCATCAGAGCTCAGATATCTCTTCAGCTTCAAAAAGCATATGCTACCAGGTTCTGTGTCTTTATAAACACACCCTATTACTGTTATTAGACTGTAAATTCTTTAAAACAATAGTTTCATGATATTGTAACTCTTTATACCCCCACAATACTTACAATATACAAGGTATTCAATAAATATTCACTGATAACACTGAAAATTCAGATATTTAGCTCGTTTAAGTAAAAATATGTAAACTAACAAATTTCTGTTAAAATATATAGAAAATATATTAACACACTCAAACAGATACTTGCATACCAAAGTTCATGGCAGAATTATTCACAATAGCCAAAAGTAGAAACAATGTAAATGTCCACTGATAGATAAATGGATAAGCAAAATGTGGTATACACATATAACGGAATATTAATCATCGTGAAATAGAACTGAAATTCTGATACATGCTACAATATGGATGAACCTTGAAGACATTATGCTAAATACAATGAGCCAGTCCTAGAAGGACATATTTTGTGTGGTTCCACTCATACGAGATACTTAGAATAGTCAAAATCAGAGAGAGAGAAAGTAGAATAGTGATTAAAGGGGAGATAATAAGTAACGGGGAATTATTATGTAACGGGCACACAGTTTCATTTCAGGATGATGAAAGCGTTCTGGAGATAGTGATGATGGTTGCATAACAATGAACTGTATACTTAAAAATGATTAAATGGTGAATTGTGTTATGTACATTTTACCATAACAAAAAGGGGGGATGTATATTACTATGATATTATTTTAATAATCATTTGCCCAAATAATATTTTGTATATTCAATGTAAAATTATAGACTTCTAGTAGTTAACATTAAATTATTAATAAAATAGTTACAAAAATAATTACCGAGTTTTATATTTAAGTATCTGGTTTCCTGAAAAAACAAACATAATACCAAAAAAACTTGAAAAATAAAGTTATTTTAATTTTAGCAATATCTTTAATCCATTTACTCTAACTCTGCAAACCGTCTGCCTATAACACAAACACTTAAAGATGGCTATAATCAACATATCCATATGTCTTTAACATTTACACATAAATTCACCTCCATTTTCTCGACAGAAGCTTGTCCGCACTTCCTGATTTTCAACTAAGTTTTGATTTTATTTTCTTTTATCCTTTTCTTCAGGGTTAAGGACTATGCATGCAAAGGCTATTCTCACTGCAACATTTTCAGGGTCAAATAAGGAGCTGTAACATGTCAAATAAAATTATTAACTGAAATTTCTTTTTTTTTTCCTTTTCTTTTTATAAGAGACAAGGTCTTGCTATGTTGCCTAGGCTAGAGTACCATGCTGTGGTTATTCACAAGCACAACAATAGCACACAACATCCTCAAATTCCTAGGCTCAAGGGATCCTCCCACCTCAGCCTCCAGAGTAGTTGGGACTACAGGCACACATTACCACAACCAGCTAAACTGAGATTACTTAAAAGTGATTAGCAAACAATATGCTAAATTATCTCTTAAACTTTAGTCAAAATAAAATAAATTAAAATTTATATTTATCTGAATATACACAAAAGCTAAATCACCTGCTACAAAATACAAAGGCAATGATATTTTGCTGCTGCTTATAAAAGTGATTCACATTTAAACAAATATAATTGAAATTCATAGGTCTATAACATCCTTAAAAATACATACTCACTAGTTCATCACTTTGTAACCCTTCAATACAATGTACCACACATACATTGATTTCTATTCTGTGATTATGTCAAAGAAATTATATTGATTTGACACACAGTTAAACTCAACAATAACACTAATTTAATTCATAACTCATTTAACATGATTTGTTTGTGAGTCCTGACTTTAATTTTGTAACTGAACTTTAATATTGGTTTATTATTTCTTTGGTAATTACTAAACTGGGAAATTTTCAGTAGATTTTACAATATCTGCCCACAAAACATTATATAGTGAAATCTTATTAAAATCTGAAGTTACCTAAGATTAAAAAAAAAAAGCAAAGAAAAAGGTATGTTCAAGTGTCTCACTTCTTATATTACTGCTCTATGAATATCCCTTCTAGAGGTGCTATTTCAAGTAAATAAATCCTTTGGATGCATAATTTCCCTATTATCTTGATGAATTACAGTAACTGTAATGCAGTAAGCTATTGTAGAGTCCCCCAAAAAACATTCTAGAGACTTACTTTCCCTTAGTATATTTCTCCTACTGTTTAATTCTTAAAAAGATATTGTATTTTCATGTCCAAAAGATCTACACAGCAAAACTCACAAATTTATACAAGTTTTTAGCAATTTGACATTCAGATTCAAGAAAATCTTCCTAGACTACACTAGGAACTGAATTTCAACCACTACTTCATAAAGTGTGTATTACTGATTTTATGTTAGAGAAAAATGAGGTTTGGAAAGACAAAATAATTTGATTCCACAACCAAGTAACCACTGAATTCAAAGAGTGAAATCCAAATATTACTAATGTCAAAGGAAGGAGGAAAACACAAAGTTGCATGCCAAAGAGGTACCAGGCATACAACACATTTTTACACACATTTCCTCATTTAATTCTCACCATCAATTTGTAAGGTAGGCATTATCTCCATTTTGAAGAGGAGAAAACTGAGGTAAAGAAGTGATTTGATGACCAGTTAGTGGGTGCAGCGCACCAGCTTGGCACATGTATACATATGTAACTAACCTGCACTATGTGCACATGTACCCTAAAACTTAAAGTATCATAAAAAAATAAATTTAAAAAAAAAAAAAGAAGTGATTTGACTTGACTAAGTTTTGTATACCTACTCAGCGGTGAAGACAAGACAGAAACTATTGATACATTGATACATTCTGTCCTCAAACCACTACTAGCTGTGATCCAAAGGTCAACAATGATAGATAAGATGGACTTTCTGTAGCTAAGATAAGACCCTCAAGAGAGAAAATTAAATGGCCATAGCAGGAACAAGGGTTTGGTCATACATACGTACATTGTTAACTACCAAAGGGTTTGTTAACTGCCATGAAGTTTTCCTCTTGTATTCGGCAGAAATCTGTTCTAGAGACACACTGCCCAACCAATCTTGGTAGACTGCCTGATAAAGACAACTGGGACAACCCTGCCTTGAGGGTCCTGCCAGCAGCACTGATAGGACAGGAGGCCATTCTTACAAACATTCTTTCTTATTAACTGCCATGAAGTTTTCCTCTTCTATTAGGCAGAAATCTGTTCTAGAGAAACTGCCCAACCGATCTTGGTAAACTGCCTGATAAAGACAACTGGGACAACCCTGCCTTGAGGGTCCTACCAACAGCACTGATAGGACAGGAGGCCAGTCCTACAAACATTCTTTCCTGCTAAAATGCTACAGACCCTAAGCCAGTTTTAGCCAGCTTATAGAGACTGCATACAAAATATCTTTGTGCTCTATAGTTCACCTGTTGACATAAAGAGCTGAATTCCACCTCATTTTAATGCTAAAATTGTGCCCTGAAGCGAAGATGGGATGTATGTTACTTATATGTTAACTCACTGTGCATGCACTAGACTTCCCCATATATATTCATAGACATTCCTCAAACAATTCATATTACATGATGGATATGCATGTAAAACAAACCCTAGAAGGCTTAAATACTACTGTTCACTCCCCTTCGGTGAAGCACGTGCTTACAGTTCCACCAGAGGTTACTTTCCCTTATCTGCAGATTGTTACTCTGAAAATAAAGTTTTCTCCTTTTTCCTTCCTCCACAGATCTCATGGTCGTTTTGTTAACACACGGAGAGAAGTTTGATCGATTTTTTGTTTTGTTTTTGATTTTGTTTTTATATTCTACAGAGAAGGGAACAATTTCACTGCTCTAATTTTAATAAGAAGATTCCCAACTCCTTGAGAAAATCATATCTATGTTGTTAATTCCCTGTAGGGTCACTATCATGAGTCTACCTGGTAGTTGTTTTTAAGGCCCTATTTTACACGACTGTCATTTCCTATCTTAACTACTTGAAGAATGACTTTCCAATGCTTAAAGGTCTTTAGAGGAAAGCTCCCAGGCAGCTGGATATGTGAGAAAAGGCTCTATTTCCCACAATTAGCTCCCTTTTAGGATATTTTCTCTAGAGCAGGGACTAAAACATGTATAAATGCCAACTAATGCACAGTATATCAAGGCTAGTTAATAAATGCCAAATGATAACAATACAGCACTTAACATGCAAATAGATGTCAACCCAATATTAATCCACTAGGAAAACACTGTGAATGCTTTTTGTCGATAGAATAGCTTTGCAAAGAATCAGACACCCTCTTGAACCAGATGCAAGTGATTAAAACACCACTTTAAGCACCAAAGAATGGAAATTAAAGTTTAGAGAAAGAAGCTGAAACACTTCTCCCCATGCTACCCAATGTCCACATATTCCACTAATTTAAGCTCATGATTCTGCTCCCCACTAGCCTAGCTCTAAAGGAAAGAAAGAGTACTAAGAAAAGGATGGTCTTGGAATGGGAAAGAAACATCACAATTTCTTTTTCTTTTTTTTTTTTTTTTTTGAGACAGAGTCTCACTCTGTCGCCCAGGCTGGAGTGCAGTGGCGTGATGTCGGCTCACTGCAACCTCCGCCTCACAGGTTCAAGCAATTCTCTTCCTCAGCCTCCTGAGTAGCTAGGATTACAGGCGCCCGCCACCATGCCCGGCTAATTTTTGTATTTTTAATAGAGACGGGGTTTCACCATCTTGGCCAGGCTGCTGTTGAACTCTTGACCTCATGATCCACCCGCCTCGGCCTCCCAAAGTGCTGGGATTACAGGCATGAGCCACCACAGCCGGCAAAAATATCACAATTTCAAACAAAAATCAAACCTAAGTTACTTTCATATCTCCTTTAGAACGTTCAGTAACTTGTCATACAAAGTAAAGTCATGCACCACATAATGATGGTTTTAATCAACAACGAACTGCATATATGAGTGGTCCCATAAGATCATAAATACCCAGCCAGGCACGAAGGCTTATGCCTATAATTCCAGCACTTTGGGAGGCCAAGGCAGGGGATCTCTTGAGGCTAGGAGTTCAAGACCTGCCTGGACAATATGGTGAAACCTCGTCTCTACTAAAATTACAAAACTTAGCTGGGCATGGTGGTGCACATCTGTAATCCCAGCTACTACCTGGGAGGCTGAGGCACGAGAATTGCTTGAACCAGGAGGCGCAGGTTGCAGTAAGCCGAGATCGCGCCACCGCACTCCACCCTGGGCAACCGAGCAAGACTCTGTCTACAAAAATAAAGATTATAAATACCATAATTTTACTGTACCTTTTCTACGTTTAGGTACACAAATACTTACTACTGTGTTACAATTGCCTACAATATTCAGTACAGTAACATGCTGTACAGGCTTGTAGCCTAGAAGCAATAGGCTATACCATATACCCCAGGTGGGTAGTAGGCTGTAACATCCAGGAAGACAGGAAGGAAAGAAAGACGTAAGGGAAGACCACAAAACATCCAGAAAACAAATTACAAAATGGCAGGAATAAGTCCTTGTTTGTCAATAATAACACTGAGTGTAAATGGACTAAACTCACCAATCACAAGACTCGGGATAGCTGAATGGATTTAAAAAAAGAAGACCCATTAATCTGTTGCCTACAAGAAACACACTTCACCTATAAAGACACACACAGATTGAAAATAAAGAAATGGAAAAGATATTCCATGCCAATGGAAACCAAAACAGAGTAGGAGAAGCTATATTTGTATCAGACAAAATAGATTTCAAGACAAAAACTGTAAGAAGAGACAAAGAAGGTCACTATATAATAATAAAGAGGTCAGTTCAGCAAGAGGATATAAAAAAGTACTTTAATATATATGCACCCAACAGTGGAGCACCCAGATATATAAAGCAAATATTATTAGAGCTAAAGAGAGAAAGACTCCAATACAATAATAGCTGGAGATTTCAACATCCCACTTTCAGCACTGAACAGATCTTCCAGGCAGAGAATCAACAAAGAAATAGACCAAACGGATCTAATAGATATTTAAAGAATATTTCTTCCAACAGCTACAGAATATACATTCTTTTCTTTAGCATATGGATCATTCTCAAGGATAGACCATATGTTAGGTCACAAAACAAGTCTTAAAACATTTAAAGAAAAAAAAACCCACATAGTGTCAAACATCTTCTCCGACCACAATAAAATAAAACTAGAAATCAATAGCAAGGGGAATTTTGGAAACTATACAAATATATGTAAATTAAATGATTTGCCCCTGAATGACAAGTGGGTCAATGAAGAAATTAAGAAGAAAATTGAAAACTTCCTTGAAACAAATGATAATGGAAACATAATATACCAAAACCTATGGAATACAGCAAAAGCTGTACTAAGAGGGAATTTTATAGCTACAAGTGCCTACATCAAAAAAAGGAAGAAAAACTTTAAATATACAAGCTAACAATGCATTTTAAGGACTAAAAAAGCAAGAGGAAAACAAACTCAAAAGTAGTAGAAGAAAATAAATAATAAAGATGAGAGCAGAAATACAGGAAATTGAAATAAAGAAAATACAAAAGATGAATCAAAAAGTTGGTTGCTGGAAAAGTTAAAACGGACAAACCTTAAGCCAGACTAAGGAAAAAAGAAGATCCAAATAAATCAGAGGTAACAAAGGAGACAGTACAACCGATATCACAGAAATCCGAAGAATCATTAGTGGCTACTACTAGCAAATATATGCCAATAAATTGGAAAACTTAGAAGAAATAGACAAATTCCTAGACACATACAACCTACCAAGATTGAAACATGAAGAAATCCAAAACCCAAACAGACCAATAATAAATAATGAAATTGAAGCCATAATTAAAAGTCTGACAGTAAAGAAAAGCCATGACCCAATGGTTACACTGTTGAATTCTACCAAACATTTAAAGAAGAACTAATACCAATCCTACTGAAACTATTCCGAAAAATAGAGGAGGGGGAATACTTCCAAACTCATCCTGCAAGGCCAGTATTACCCTAGTACCAAAACCATAAAAAGACACATCAAAAGAAGAAAACTAAGGACCAATATCCCTGATGAATATTCATACAAAAATCCATAACGAAATACTACCAAATTGAACTCAACAACACATTAAAAAGATCATTCATCATGACCAAGTGAGATTTATCCCTGGGACACCAGAATGGTTCAACATATACAAATCAATCACCATATATCGTATCAACAAATGAAGGACAAAAACCATATGACCATTTCAATTAATGCTGAAAAAACACTGATAAAATTCAACATCCCTTCTAATAAAAACCCTCAAAAACATGAGTATAGAAGAAACACACATCAACATAATAAAAGCCATATACAAAAGACCCACAACTAGTATCACACTGAATGGGGAAAAACTGAAAGCCTGTCTTTTACGATCTGAAACATAACAAGGATGCCCACTTTCACCACTATTATTCATTATAGTACTGGGAGTCCTAGCTAGAGCAATTAGACAAGAGAAAGATATAAAGGGCATCCGAATTGTAAAGGAGAAGTCAACTTATCCTTGTTTGCAGATGATATGATCATATATTTGGAAAAACATAAAAAATCCACCAAAAAACTATTAGAATTGATACTATTAAGAACTGACTAATTCAGTAAAGTTGCAAGATACAAAATCAACATACAAAAATAAGTAGCATTTCTATATGTGAAATGTGAACAAATTGAAAAAGAAATTTAAAAAGCAGTCCCATTTACAATAGCCACCAAAATAAATAAATAAATACATACCTAGGAATTAACCAAAGAAGTGAAAGATCTCTGTAACAGAAACTATACTATATTGATGAAAGAAATTGAAGAGGATACCAAAAAATGGAAAGATATTCCATGTTTATGGGTTGGAAGAATCAATATTGTTAAAACGTCCATACTACCCAAAGCAATCTACAGATTCAATGCAATCCCTATCAAAATACCAATGACACTCTTAACAGAGATATAAAAAAAACCCTAAAATTTATAGGGAACCACAAAAGACTCAGAATAACCAAAGCCATCCTAAGCAGAAAGAACCAAACTAGAAGAATCACATTAACTGACTTCAAATTATATTACAGAGCTATAATAAACAAAACAACATGGTACTGGCATAAAAACAGGCACACAGAACAATAGAACCGAGAACCCAGAAAAAAATCCACACGCCTACAGTGAACTCATTTTTGACAAAGGTGCCAAAAACATACATGGCAGAAAAGACAGTTTCTTCAATAAATGGTGCTTGGAAACTGGATATATATATGCAGAAGAATGAAACTAGACTCCTATCTCTCACCATATACAAAACTCAAATCAAAATATTGATTAAAGACAAAAATCTAAGACCTCAAACTATGAAATGACTAAAATAAAACACTGGGGAAACTCTCCAGGGTATCGGTCTGGGCAATGATTTCTTAAGTAATACCCCACAAGCACAGGCAACCAAAGCAAAACTGGACAAACGGGATCACATCAAATTAAAAAGCTTCTCCACAGCAAAGTAAACAAGCAACAAACAAACAACCCACAGAATGGAAGAAAATATTTGCAAACTACCCATCTGACAAAGGATTAATAACCAGAATATAAAAGAAGCTAGGCCAAGCACGGTGGCTCAGGCCTGTAATCCCAGCACTTTGGGAGGCGGAAGCGGGTGGATTACCTGAGGTCAGGAGTTCAAGACCAGCCTGGCCAACATGGTGAAACTCCGTCTCTACTAAAAATACAAAAAATTAGCTGGGCGTGGTGGCAGGCACCTGTAATCCCAGCTACTTCGGAGGCTGAGGCAACAGAATTGCTTGAACCCGGGAGGTGGAGGTTGTAGTGAGCCGAGATTATGCCATTGCACTCCAGCCTAGGCAACAAGAGCGAAACTCCATCTCAAAAAAAAAAAAAAAAAAAAAAAAAACTCAAACAACTCTACAGGAAAAAATTAATAATCCAATTTAAAAACAGGCAAAAGTTCTGAACAGACATTTTCAAAAAAAAAACAGACATACAACTAGCAAACACACGTATGAAAAAGTGTTCGGCCGGGCACAGTGGCTCACGCCTGTAATCCTAGCACTTTGGGAGGTTGAGGCAGGCAGATTGAGCTCAGGAGTTTGAGACCAGCCTCGGCAACATGGTGAAACCCTGTCTCTACTAAAATACAAAAACAAAAAATTAGCCAGGCATAGCGGTGTGTGCCTGTAGTCCCAGCTACTCGGGAGGCTGAGGCAGGAGAATTGCTTGAATCTAGGAAGTGGAGGATGCAGTGAGCCAAGATCATGCTACTGCACTCCAGCCTGGCCAACAGAGCAAGACTCCATCTCAAAAAAAAAAAAAAAAAAGTGTTTAACATCACTGATCATCAGAGAAATGCAAATCAAAACTACAATGAGATATCATCTTACTCCAGTTAAAATGGCTTTTATCCGAAAGACAAGCAATAATCAATGCTGGCAAAGATGTGGAAAAAAGAGAACCCTCATACACTGTTGGTGGGAATGTAAATTAGTACAACTGCTATGAAGAAGAGTTTGGACGTTCCTTAAAAAAACTAAAAATTTAGCTACCATATGATCTAGCAATCCCACTGCTAGGTATATAGCCCCAAAAAAGGAAATCAGTGTATCAAAGAGATATCTGCACTCCCATGTTTACTGTAGCACTGTTCACAATAGCCAAGATTTGAAAGCAAGCTAAGTGTCCATTAGCAGACGAATGAACAAAGAAAATGTGGTACATATACACAGTGGAGTACTATTCAGCCATAAAAGAGAATGAGATCCTGTCATGTGCAACATGGATGGAACCAGAGGTCACTGCGTTAAGTGAAATAAGCCAGGCAAAGAATGACAAGCATCTCATGTTCTCACTTATTTGTGGGATCTAAAAATCAAAACAACTGAACCCATGGAAAAAGAAGGATGGTTACTAGAGGCTGGGAAAGGTAGTGGTGGGATGAGGGAGAGGTGGGGATGGTTAATGGGTACAAAAAAACAGGATGAATGAATAAGACCTAGTATTTGACAGCACAACAGGGTGACTATAATCAATTACTGGGGTTCAATCAGGCTGGTGGGAAAAATATTGAAGATAGTTATAGAGACAGACACAAATCTTCTTGGAAGGCCGAGAGTTTGCATAACTTCAGTAATAGACATGGTTGAAGGCAACCTGATCTTTACCTTTAAACAAATTAAACTAGTAATAAAGGAAGGCAGAGTAGTTTACCTAGCTAGCTTGTTTACTCATATAATCTTAAGACTAACCTTTGATGTGCCATGGGTGATTAAGGGCTTTTTACTTGGAAAGTCCACAATGTCAATTACCTCTAATGGTGTTGACTCAAGCCTTTGTTAATTAATCTTACCGCATAAATGCAAGTCTCACTTGCTGATCGAGGTCATGGTCACAACTGTTTACAGAACCCTCCAGGGAGTCTGTAAACAGCTGAGACACCCTCAGCTGGACTGGCAAAACAGAATATCTGTGTGTCAGTGTACTTTATTCATCCGTGGCCGGGTCAGGGTCTATGGGCAGACCCCGGCAGCTGGTGCCCCTGTGTGAGGGGTGCTGCCGCAATCAATAATTTAATTGTACATTTTTAAATAACTAAGAGTGTATTTGGATTGTCTGTAACACAAAGGATAAATGCTTGAGGGGAGGGATACTGCATTGTCCATGATGTGATTTTTACACATTGCACGCCTGTGTCAAAACATCTCATGTATCCCATAAATACATATACCTACTATGTACCCGCGAAAATTAAAAATACATTTTTTTAAAAAAATCAATAAGTAGTACAATTCACTGGTTGTCCTTACTACCCAATTTTCAAAATAACAAATTCTGTTTATTAAAATAGCATTATCATACCTTCTATACAAATTTAAGTTTTATAGTTCTTCCTAAGGAAATAAAAAACAGTAGAAAGCTAAATTTTTATGTGAAATCTGACATATGGATGCCAATCCCCAACATCTGCTATCACCATGGAATTAACCTTTATCAAAATTAGTTTACTTAGAAAATCTTAGTCCACTGTATAGTGTTCTTTACTTCTTTTTTTATAGCAAGAAATACAGCTAAATTGTTTTTCAAATCACACTGAAAAATGGCTTATTACTTTTTATATTTCTGGCTTAACTTTTATTCCATTGACTTTTAACCTACTTAACCAAAAGTATACCAATTAAAATTCAAGGTAAACATAATGTCTAATTCACCTTAAGAAATCCGAAAGAACCATTACAAAATAAGCCTCCAAACTTAGCAAGCATATCAGAATGGCCAGACCCAAGGGAACGTATTAGCAATATTTTCACCTTACATATATGTAAATTTTATTATTACTTCCACATCTGTGGTGCATTAGGTACAACAGTCACCTCTGAACCCTTTACACAGTGAACACATGGTGGACTATTACAAAATTAGTAGCTAGGGTAACATCTTAAGGAATTATTAATAATTTTGTTATCCAGCCAGAGGATAGCTACAGAGTTGGACAAATAAGTTTTCCTAGGAAGATAATAAGGAATGACGGTGAGATACAAGGGAAATGACTTGGAGATGGTCACAAAAAGAATGGGCAAAAGTAGTAACAGGAAAAGATTATATAAAATCTTCTAGAAAAAAAATATAGCAAAAAAAAGTCAAATGAGAATGAAGATGGATGATTGTGAAAGACAGAAAATACTATAAAAGTTCCACTCTTAATTTTCTAAATACAAAATACATTCCTGAAACCTCAAATTCCTGAAACTCCAAAACAAAGTCTAAATAAAACTGAGATGTAGGCCGGGCACGGTAGCTCACTCCTGTAATCCCAGCACTTTGGGAGGCTAAGGCGGGCAGATCATGAGGTCATGAGATCGAGACCATCCTGGCTAACATGGTGAAACCCCGTCTCTACTAAAAATACAAAAAATTAGCCAGGCATGGTGGCGGGCACCTGTAGTCCCAGCTACTTGGGAGGCTGAGGCAGGAGAATGGCGTGAACCTGGGAGGAGGAGCTTGCAGTGAGCCGAGATTGCACCACTGCACTCCAGCCTGGGTGACAGAGCGAGACTCTGTCTCAAAAAAAAAAAAAAAAAAAAAAAACTGAAATGTAGTACTTGACATAGTTTCTAGCTAAAGTAATAACCAACAAAACTGATTCAATTATGTCATTTTCTAAGAGATAAAGAAATAAAAACATCAGGAAAAAAATTAAGACTAATCAGGTCAAGTGGTTACGCATGTAAAACTCAACTATTCAGATAACAGTGGCTAGTTAAATGAGACAAGATAGCTTAGTACATGGGGCACAGAATACAGCCCTGCTCCCAAAAAAATGTCATATAACTTTAAGAAAGCCACTATATCATCTCTAAAGCTAAAATAATGTAGTCTCAGTAAGAATAGTGATACTGCATCAATAATTAATACAGTGTGTTGGGGTTTTTTTCCCTTTCTTTCTTTTTCTGAGACGGAGTTTCACTCTTGTTGCCCAGCCCGGCGTGCAATGGCACAATCTCAGCTCACTGCAACCTCTGCCTCCTGGGTTCAAGCCATTCTCCTGCACAGTGGCTCACACCTATAATCCCAGCACTGTGGGAGGCCAAGGCGGGCAGATCACCTGATGTCAGGAGTTTGAGACCAGCCTGGCCAACAAGGTGAAACCCCGTCTCTACTAAATATACAAAAAAAAATTAGCCGGGCATGGTGGCGGGCGCCTGTAACCCTAGCTATTCAGGAGGCTGAGGCAGGAGAACACAACGTTTTCTGAGTGAGGAGACACTATGGAAAGAGAACAGGTTCCTGGCTTCTAAAAAGAGAAAAAAAGTATTTATTAACCAAGTTATTTCAATATATTTAAAAAAGTCTTATCTTCCTTCCCCTAGAATATAAGAAGCTGACAAAACCACATGACAATTATGAAGACAGGTATTATTGCTTGAATCTGGGTCACTAAAATTATTAGCTGTTCAAGTGAGATAAAAGAAAGGGGAAACATCAATTATCTAGAAGTCTACATTTTCTTTGCTGTTAATGTGAAACATATCCCACACAAAACCATTCAAATAAGATATATATCCCTACATTTGAGTCTCCAGGAACAGGTCCTTTGAAGCAAAGATTGGACAAATAGTTAAAATTATTTAAACAATTCCTGATCACCAAATGTCAACAAATTTAGTTAAAAAAAATTTTTAATCCATACAGTTAACATCCTACTTTAATATTTTTTCCTAAAAAAGAACATGAAAGTTCAACTAATACAAAAAAGCCTCGCAGTTTTAAAGAAGGGGGTGTAGGTGGGAGAAGTAAGAAATTCAAACAGCTTCAAGGACAAAAAGCATGTCCCACACCAGAACATATTTACAACTCTTCAACTTGAATTCAACTAACATCCAACTGCGGCAATCAGCCAAGCTTGGCAAATTAAAATAACAGTAATTTTGACAGATTATCTTCTATAAATATTCAAATATGAACATTTGTGTTCACGCAAAGGTCTCCATATGCCAATCAAAATGCTTTGTTAAGGATCCTAACATTGAGCTTTTTTCTTCACCCATCTGTAGGAATCCCCTGAATCCTTAACTTCCATTTTAACTCTCTCACCCCAGCTAATTGTGAGACACATTATCTGTCTAGTTGTAGCCTGAATTAAAAACTTAAGGATAACATTCACATAGTATCAACAGACAAAAGGAACCTAGAACCTTTCAAAATCTAGGTCTGTAAAGACAAAAGGAAAGATCCAGGAAGGCAGGGAGGGAAGGGCAGAGAGAGGCTCTTGAAGGATGGCAACCAAATGAAAGATTACCTTTCTATTTGTGTTAGCAGATAGAAATTACTGAAAGTAAAATCTAGATGTAAAGAGAAATTAACAATTTCATAAATTTGGGCTCTATTCAAAGTTTCATTTGGCTCAAGGCAAGATGCTGTGTTTTAATGACAAGTTTAAGTATATGAAACTGTCAAAAGCAGAGAAATGCCATCAGTATGAAATTCACACTAAACACACTTTTTGAAATCTGCAGATGTCCTATCATCAGGAACAATCAATAAATAAGAGTAACAATGGCTTTAATGAAAGCAAGTTATCTGATGCATGAATTTGTTAATTGTTCTATTCTGTCCTCCATTACTCAGTTTCCCTTAAATATGTACACAATTACCAAGCAGTCTCACGCCTTCCAGGAAAATTACAAGTGATAGGCACATTTCTGCATTCAGGGCAGCATTATATTATGGAAGAAAATTTAACCTATTCAGAAGCATATATTTCTCTGATCCTACCTGGAAAGAAACAGCTATAAATAGCTCTACTAAAATTGCTCAAAATATTTCTAGACGGGCAGGCTTACAATAGAAACTCTTACTTTATGATCACTCACCACTCAACCATCCAAGTCCAACACTGGATCTAAGCCAAACCAGTAGTTCTCAAGGGAGGGAAGGGAGTTAAAAAAGTCTGGTCTAGGGACCAGTAGCTCCAGCCTCCCCTGGGAGCTTGTTAGAAATGCACAATCTCAGGCCTTACCCAGGGACATATTGAATCAGAATCAGTATTTTACCAAGATCCTCAACTGATTCATATACACATTAAAATTGAAGAAGCTCTGCAGGAGGGGGAATTTTTGAATGAGTAAAAAAGGCATAATCTTTTCAGAGGTTGGTTACCACTGCAGACCACTGTTTGGCTAATAAGCAACCAATTTTAAAACTTTGTTTATGGGTAACATCATTACTTTTACCATTATTTATTTTACATTTTAAATAAGGGCTTTTAAAAAACAGAAATACCTCAAGAGGCAAAGAAGGAGTATCTAATGATTAAATGTAAGTTACCAAAAAAAGCTGTAACAGAATTATCTCAGAATAAGTGGACCCGGGCCGGGCACGGTGGCTCACACCTGTAATCCCAGCACTATGGGAGCCTAAGGCGGACAGATCACTTGAGGTCTGGAGTTCGAGACCAGCCTGGGCAACATGGTGAAACCCTGTCTCTACTAAAAAGACAAAAATTAGCCAGGCATGGTGGTGGGTGCCTATAATCCCAGCTACTCGGGAGGCTGAGGCAGGAGAATCACTTGAACCTGGGGGGTGGAGATTGCAGTGAGCTGAGATCCCACCACTGCACCCCAGCCTGAGTGACAGAGTGAGATTCTGTCTCAAAAAAAAAAATAACAATAAATAAGTGGACCCAGCCAGGCATGGTGGCTCACACCTGTAATCCCAGACCACTTGGAGGCCAACATGGGTGAATCACTCGAGGCCAGGAGTTCGAGACCAGCCTGGCCAACATAGCAAAACCTCGTCTCTACAAAAAATACAAAAATTAGCTGGGTGTGGTGGCAGGTGCCTGTAGTCCCAGCTACTTGGGTGGCTGAGGTGAGAGGACTGCTTGAGTTTGGGAGCTCGGGACTACAGAGAGCCAAGATTACACCACTATATTCCAGCCTGGGCATCAGAGCAAGACACTGTCTCAAAAAAAAAAAAGAAAGAAAAGAAAAGACAAAGTAGACCCGTCTCATGCCCCCTCCCCCATCACATTAACTAAACAAATTAATTTTTTAAATAATAATAACAACTTTCCTTCCAAACCCTCAGCATTAAGAATATCTGGGTCTGGGGTCCAAGTAGCTAGGAAAAGAGACCAAGAGACCAAAGGCCTATGGCCTCCTTTGACCAGAAGAGAAGGCTATATATACTGGTTATTCAGCTATTTTCTCTCAGATCCAAATCTACCCTTTAATACTCATCTTTGTAATACTGAAAATAAAACTCTGAAAACTACTTTTCTCTTCTGCAGCTAGCTTCCTCACACTGCCAATAAGGACACTAGAGGGAGAATGCAGTACATGCTTTTTCCAGTCAGCATTGCCCAGCATAGATCCTCCACCCCAGCAGTAGCAGTGATAACCACCAGCTTTTTCTGGCACTCTCAGAAATTCCCCTCAGACATACCAACAGCTGTCAGGAAGTACCCCCTCCAGAGGTTTTGAACCCCAATTCTATGAGGTCCCAACTCCAAGTTCTTATTTCCCCCTCAACCATATGAATAGTGGCTAATTCCTGCAAATATTGTCTCTGTGTTACCCCAGTGTTCCCTGTTTGCTTTTTCAGCCCTCCAATACCTGTATAATCCCTTCCCTGTATTAAATTTTCTGGGCTGAAATTTTTTGTTTTTGTTTGTAATTCTGTAGAGACAGGTCTTACTATGTTACCCAGGCTGGTCTCAAACTCCTGGTCTCAAGAAATCCTCCTGCCTCGAGTATTTAGTGTGGACTGTTTTCCTGACCTGATCCTAACTGAGCCATCATGGCTAGATGGAATAAAATTTAACATGATCTTGATCGCTTTGGAAAACGGTCTTCCCAAACATGGTAAGTCCATAAGAAAATATTTACTGCCTCTCCTCCAAAATAGGTGCAAGATGGGAAATGGATACAAGAAGCACAGTTGAGGAAGAAAGAAGAAGCATAACCTAAGAAAGGAATATATTGAAACAAATATCATGGCATAAAACACATTTTAACCCTGAAAAACATAAAGAAAAGGCCAATAAAAAGTCTGAAGCAAATACAAGTTTTCAACGCTAATGAAAACCACAGATTTTTAGATCTATATTCTTCTGCCTCTGCCATTGTTCAGTTTTGTTACAGCAGTTTTGTATCTAGTTTGGGTTATTACACTTTAAGGAGACTATTGAGAAATTAGGGAAAGTCCAAAGAAGACTATACAAATGATGAAAAGGGATAGGAAATAGGATCCATAAAGAAAGGTTCAACAGTCAAACCTTTTAGTCTAGCGAAAAGAAAACTTCAGGCCAACATATTAACTGCCTTCCAGTTTAAGAGTTCTAACCAGCTGTCCACCATCATCTCTACAGAGGAAATGAGCTTAAAATGGAAGACAACAAAGTAAGAGAAGACCTAAAATGTAGCTTCTTAGCTTATGACTCTCCTTCAGATAACTAAAGTGGTGGCTCTTAATGCTAGTTTCACAAGAGAATGATCCAGGATATTTTTACCGAAAGAAAAAATGATGATGATGATGACGACAATGATGACGACGATGATGCCCAGAACCCCAAAGGCAAAGCTCTAATTTAACTGGTATGACACAGAGCCAAGGCATAAAGAACAAAAAATATCTAAGTGTTTATAATATACTGAAAGCAGGAATGAGAACCACTTAATGGAACACTGCATAACTGTGCTACTCAAAGTGTGTTATAAGAATGAGCTACATCCAGATTACCAACAGGAGCTTGTTGGAAAGGTAACATCTCATCCTATTCCAAAACTACTGAATAAGAATCTACATGTTATTATGATCCCTACACAATCCCATATGCACATTAAAGTTTGAAAAACATTGTTCCATAACAGTTTGAAAGGGGCGTTAAGTGTGTATGTGAGACCAAACACCAGCCTAAAAATAACTAAGCTGAATTTTTCTGAGCTTTTAAATATAAAAATTTTTTTACCCTAAGGTCAATTAGAGTTTACTAAGAAGACTATTTTAGAGAGTGAATAATACTTATAACTAAATATTCAACACATACTATTTGCTGGCATTTTTTTTTTTTTTTTGAGACAGGGTCTTGCTGTGTTGCTCAGGCTGGAGTGCAATGGTACAATCACAGATCACTGCAGCCTGGATAGACCTCGATGGACTCAAGCAATCCTCCTGCCTCAGCCTCCCATGTAGCTGAGACTACAGGCACACACCACCGCACCAGCCTAAGTTTTTCATTTTTTATACATATGAGGCCTCGCTTGTTGCTCAGAATTATCTCGAACTCCTAGGCTCAAGTAATCCTCCCACCTCGGCCTCCCAAAGTGTTGGGATTACAGGCACAAGCCACTGCACCCAGCCCATTATTCTTTACAAATTGATTTAATCATCAACACACCTATAAAGTAGATATTTATTAATAATTAGTTATGGCAAAATAAGATATTAAATAATTTGCCCCATGTACTACTTAAAAAAAAAAGTGGTAAACCTGAGACTTGAGCTGTACTCTGTTTGAGGGCCTCTACTTAACCACAAAATAATTCTAGTTTATCAACACCATCCCCAAACATTCTGAAATCATTCAGAATGAAAGTATAATAACTGGTAATGAAAATGCTATAAGGGTAAAGAAAAAATTAGTGTGCTCTTCTCTGGTTAAAAAAAAATTCAGCCAGGTATGGTGGTGTGTGTGTGTGTCTGTAGTCCCAGCAACTTGGGAGGTTGAGGCAGGAGAATCACTTGAGCCTAGGAGTTTCAGGCCAGCCTGGGCAACATACAGTGAGATCACTGTCGCTTGAAGAAAAATTTTTGGTAATAACCACTGTTATTTATATTTGGGAAGTAACTGAAATCCTATGTTGGGAGACACGTTCTTACCCAATGCCTCCTTAATTCATCCCTACAACTATTACTACTTCCACAACCATTACCACCACTACAACCCTCAGAAAAGTAATGTACATGAGGCTATAATTATTTTTCACAATGAAAGAGGCATGACATAAATTTAGTCTGATTTTTCTCCTTCTCTGTATCCCACTGCTTCCAACCTCTAAAAAAGTCTACTGTTTCCATCTGCTACTATAGAACCAAAAATTCCTATTTCAGTAAGACCCAAATGTTACTTCTGAAAATATTGAGGAAAACTTGTAAAGGAGAAGTCAGACAGAGACTGTCAGTAAAAAGCCTACTAGAAGTTTTAACAATTCATTGAATTCTAAATAGCATGAAAGAATAGTCAAAATTCTCAGAGATAAATAACATTGTTGTACTGGCAGATAGATTGAGTTTAAAATATGCAAAATTATATTCTATGAGTATTTAAAGCAGAGCATTACTAACATATTTTGGCTTCATTCAGTACAAGCACATTCCAAAAAAAAAGCATACAATACCTTTTTAATTAACAATGACACAACAAACCCTGGTGACCTAGTTTCTGATAATGAACAAAACTACAGATATTAAAAATACAGTTACTTAACCCATAAGAATTATTAAAGTGGATACTGGAGCCAAAAAGATTTGTGGGCTAAAGATACCAATGCAAAGACTCACTGAAATTAGTCTTCCAAACACTTAAGTTTAAAATTATGACGTGAGGCAATTTATTGGTTCCTTTGAGTAAGATTTTACTTGAAGAATCTAAAAAAAATAAGGTCATGTGAAGCACTGTGGGGATACAACTTGATTTCCTAAAAAGTCGAGTGAGACTTCCCAGGAAGGCAAAGATAAAACTCAAAAGAATAGACAGATAAAATCTAAAAGAGCGTTCTTAGGGAGCAAAGCAATAGTAGAAAACACAGAGGCTGAGCATTCCTGATTATTCTTTCATTAAATAATATGACTAATAAAATGACTCTGACCAAAACTCCCTGAAAATTTCTATCTGCTTTGAAATCTTATTAGTTATATAAATTATTTGTAGTTATGCTTTTCTTCTAGTTAGCAGCAGAAAATCGCTCCCTTCCCCTCTCCACCTAGCTTCATAACAGCACATTCTCAATCTGCTCTCCTTTCCCACCCTATTCGGAGACTATAAACTGAGTAAAATATGACATATTTTATAGTAAATTGAGACTATTTTACTCATAGTCTCAACAATCATTTTGTTTGAATAACTGAATAAAATGATATATTCATTTTAAAATACTCCAAATAAGTAAATTGTATTTTATAAATTTTAATATTTTAATATTTACTAAACATTAGCTGAATGAATGTCACCACCCATTAAACTCTTATAACATACAAAAATCACATATATGTAAACATTTAAATGGAAAAAATTTACCACCTCCATTACCAATAAAATGGAAAGCTCATTACATCAAATAAAAATATTTAAAAATCATTAGAATCATTTTTTAATCATCGGGAAGAATAAATTAAAAAGATGATTCAAAAACTTCATAGAGAATAAGAATTATGATTAAGCTTATAAAACTGCAGGGTCTGGGCTCCACGGCCAGAGATCCTGATTCAGACTCAGAGTTTCAGATGACAAACACAAAACTCTACATTTTAACAAGCTTCCAAGGTAATTACCATGCAGATTATCCTTGAACCACACTCTAGTAAATATTTCACCTTCAAACCACTGTCAACTTCCAAACAAGTCCTTCAGATCTGATCAAAATGCCCATTCCCATCTTTCATCTTAGGAACATCAACTTCTGATTAAGGAATCAACATATAGAAAAAGTAATAGCAACCGGTTACTGGACATATATTACCGTTGGAAATGAACTTTTACATACTCTAATATACACATACAAATTAAATTATATACTGCATATGAAGTATGTAACACAGTGTCTGGCTGGAATAAATAAATGCTCAATAAAAAGAGCAGCATTTATCCTTAAACTTCATCACAACCCTAGGAGGTGGTTGCTATTATTTCCAATTTGCAGTTGAGGAAACTGAGGTCTAGTAACTTGCCCAATGTCACAGGGGTAGTTAAGGGTCAGAGACAGAATTCAAGACAACCCATGTGACTCCAAAACCTGAACTCTTTAATCTAGGCTAACTTTCTGAAGCACCACGGCAACAACAGCAAGCACAAAACCACTCCACAGCCATACCCCATAGAAGAATTTTCCTGAGTCATACCAAGAAAATCATGGCCAGAGTCCATTCTCACACTGCTATGAAGAACTGCCCAAAATTGGGTAATTTATAAAGAAAAGAGGTTTAATTGACTCACAGTTCTGCATGGCTGGGGAGGCCTCAGGAAACTTACAATCATGGCAGAAGGGGAAGAGGCATGTCTTACATGGCGGCAGGCAAGAGAGAGCGAGTGGGTGAAGGAGGAACTGTCAGACACGTATAAAACCATCAGATCTCATGAGAACTCACTAACATGAGAACAGCATGGGGGAACGACCCCCATGATCCAGTCACCTCCCACCAGGTCTCTCCCTTGACACGTGGGGATTATGGGGATTACAATTCAAGATGAGATTTGGGTGAGGAGACAAAGTCTAACCATATCAGATACTCTTATAAATGTTCCTATATGACTAAAAGTGAAAGAAGGGCAGTCATAGGACTATGATGGGTTGAGGTTGCTAAAAATGTTTAATGTTTCACAGCACTTGAGAATTACAAATTAGGAAATCTATGTAATAATAATTCTAAAAGGAATATGACTGAAAATATGTTAAAGGAATCTATTCCAAAATCACTCAGGGTTAGCTTTTTAACTCAAAGATGGTACAAACTCAGTCTTATGGTTCTCCACATCTAGGCAGCCTCAAGGGGGCCAACTAAGAGACTTATTTCCTCCCCTCAAAATATAAACATAATTAGTATTTACTTCAAAGTTATCTATTTAACGTGATTTTTTTCTACTTAAATTTTTCTAAAATCTGATTATGTTCCTAATGATTAATTTTTTGTGTCTAAATTTATTTTTTAAAACACTACACTTTCCTAAAAATGTCTGTTTCTCCCCTCATCTCAAGTTCCTACTAAATGGTTTTCTTCCTTCCAAGTGTATTTCTAGCTTGTCTATTCCCACCACCTATCCCCAAAATGGTAAGCACTGGTTTCCAAAATACCTCCTTACCCCTACTTGAACCAAGACTACATTCACAACAAATATAACACAATTAGTCATAGCAAAAAATATTATATACTGATAACATTAGCATATTACAAATTCAGAAAATGGAAAAATGATAAGTGTGTTTTATTCTGCTAAATTATATAGAAAACTTGTATTTTAACCTGGTATCTCTCAATTAGCAATACAAATCCTATTGCTGTTGTTTAGTTTTTTAAACCCTACAAATAGCTAAGATTTTTAAAAATTAAATATATTATAATTAGGCTCTTAGCCAAATAAAATATGATACACAGATAAAGAGCAATATACAAATGGACCATACCCCGGAGGAACACATAACTCCCATTTGTTCACACTCTCCTTAAAAGAAACAAAATATCCAGTACTACTACATCCAAACCAGAGGTGATGATTCACCAGAGTGCTCCTGCCCAAGGAACCCCAGTGCAAGAAGCAGCAGCCAAAGTGAAAACTCTGCTTGAGACCTGTTCATTTAATATGTAAAAACAGGTATCTCAATTACCTAACTTTTCACAAAGAATACATGACTTTTTTTAACTTTCATAGTTAGAAAAGATTTGCTATAGTTTTTTAAATGTGATTATTTAATTTACTGGGTTTTTTTTTTTTTTAAGGGAAAAGCAAACTTCAGTAATTCCTGCCTGAGGAATGAAACTATAAACATATTAAATCCTATAAAAAGAAAAAAAAAGGTTCTGAAAGGTTCCAGAAAGAGGTACAAAGTCCCTAAACCAACAAACACCATGTTTCACACTAAGTAAGAACTGTGTGCCTCTCCTCCAGAGCTCTATCTAGAGAAAAAGCATTGAGTTTTTAGGTAAAACCAGAGCCCAGAACTACGATAGCAGAAATTCTGGAGTCTCTTGGAAGTCCTTCTAACTATACAACAAAGCCTCAATCAGCAGAAACCTAAACATTTGGTAAACCTTCCTCCCCACTTCCTTAAGTATAAAAAATATCCTTTCTCTTCCGTCTCCTGAATTCTGGAACCCTTCAGAACCTTACTTTTTTTTCTTTTTATAGGATTTAATATGTTTATAGTTTCATTCCTCAGACAAATACCTAATGCATGCGGGGCTTAAAACCTAGATGATGGGTTGATAGGTGCAGCAAACCACCATGGCACATGTATACTTATGCAACGAACCTGCACATTCTGCACATGTATCCCAGAACTTAAAGTAAAATTTAAAAAATAAAAAATAAAAAAATACGTTGCCCCTCCTGAGTAGATTCTCTGGATACAACTGGAGAGCGATGCTTTGCAGCCCCAGATTCCTCTTCACTCCTTGTTTGTTACATACAGAGGGAGAATAAGCCATCTACTTGTAATTCAATCAGAAACTTTTTATGAACATAGCAACTACAATAAACCTTTTCTCTTCTAATAGTATGTAAATGCACTGTCTGGTAAGGTATTCAGTAGCCAAATGTAGCCATATGAAATGTGGTTAGTTTGAACTGAGATGTGCTATAAGTGTAAAATACACATGGATTTCAAAGACTTAATATGAATAAAAGAATGTAAAACTCTAATTGATATTTTTATATTGATTAGTTGTTGAAATATTTTGAATACATTACGTTAAATAACTGAAACCAATTTTAACTGCTTCTTTTTGCTTTTTAAATGTAGCTAACAAAAAGTTAAAAAATTACATGTGTGGTTCACTCTACATTTCTATTGGACAGCACTGGACTATAAACTAATGACCATAGCTTTTACTAAACTATACAAAGATCAAACTTGCATGTTTATATAGTATTATAAAATGTAGTCATTACAACAGCTAAACCAAAATTTCCTTTCTCCCTGACTAACAAAGCATATTACATTCACTCATCTGCTTCCAGGTTCCTTCCTTTCCTTATCTCTTCATCTAACCTTAAAATATTGAATAAATTTTATTCACCTCCTCCCCACTTCCACCCAAATTACCAGCCTTGAAATGTTAATCTTTTATTTCCAAACACTATCATACTTAGAAAAAAAAAAGGAGAAAATTTTTCCCAAAGAGGCCTCCAAGGTTATCCCTAAGAGACAATACATGGCAATGTTAAAGGTTTGGTCTCTAGAATCAATAGCCCAGCAAGAACTCTACCTTTTGCTGGGCAAATTATTGTAGCTCAGTTTCTTTTCTGTAACAGAGGGTAAATACTATTATTTACTATCAAACTAATCTTTCATTTAATTAATATTTAATATTAAAACATCAATTCTATAGGTTATAATATAAGAAAAGCATTTAGCACAGTACCTGAGACTTCAGTGCTAAGAATTATTAACCATTATTACTACCATTATTTCCTTTTTTGTCAAGCTTCCTGAACCTATCCCTTCTCTTTCTATTCCTAGCTTCCCCATCAACAGGTTCTCTCTTCAGTCAAGCCAAAATATATCTAACAAAATGAAAAGAATACAGAATAACAGAGGGAGAAGGTGGTCATTTGGGACTAAGAACTCCAAATACTGGAGCCCATAATAAAGTGGTCTGCATTACATGATAGAAAGATTCCTCACTATAAAAAGCCGTCAAGCTAAGTCTGGGATTCTGTAAAAAGTATCTTCACAGATGACTGAAATAGTTGTTTCTAAAGTCCCCCTTTAATCCTCTATGCCCTGGAAAGGTATACAATGCAGATATTAAAATCTAGACGCTATATCATTGGCAATACTCACCAAAGTCTAAAAATTGTACATTCCTTATGGCACTTTGACTTGGCCACTGATTCACGCTTGTACACAAAAAAATCAACAAGCTCCTATCTGCAACTATTGGAGAGCCCAAGTTTAAACTTTCACCTTATGGCAGGGAGAGAGATGGGGAGACAGAGAGGGAGTGGGGAGATAAAGGGGAGGAGAGAAGGGAAGCAGGTGGGGAGGGAGAGACAGAGACACGAAATGGTCAAAATTCCTACTTTGCCACTTGTGGTAAACAAGCCTCATGGACTTAGAGCAGATTCAGGTGGGTAACTCTTTGCCTAAGCCAAAATATAGGTAAGCTGAATCTCTTATTACCCTTTTCATATTCTGTCATATATTATAGACATTTACATTATGTTTTATTTCCTTTCTCTTCCTTCTCCTGAAATCTAAAGTCTACAACACTGCGTCTGACATATTAGGTACTTGATAAAAGAAAAACTTCAGCAGAATTAAATTTAAAGGAGTTTAACTGAACAATGAACAATCTGCAAATCAGGCACGCTCCTAAGCCAGAGTAGGCGCTGAGACTCCAGCACAGCCACATGGTGGAAGATTTAAGGACAGAAAAAGGAAAGTGATGTACAGAAAAAGGAAGTGACATACAGAAAAAGGAAGTGACGTACAAAAACAGCTGGACTGGTTACAGGTTGGTGTTTGCCTTATTTGAACACAGTTTGAACAGTTGACTACATTTGATTGGCCAAAACTTAGTGACTGGCACAAGTGTGGCTACAGTCTGTTTCTGCCTCCACTTGTTATAGCTCACAATATGCCTCCACTTGTTATAGCTCAAAAACCTTTAGGCTAAACTGAAGTAAGAAGGCAGCTTTCGGCTAAACTTGATTTAACATGCTTATAAATATCTGTCATGTTGGATTGAATCTACAGTTTTAATATGAAAAAAATATTACTTACCTTTGGTTTTTAAAACACTTTCATGTGATTTCACTTGATTGTCCCAACAATTGTATAATTAGGCACATTGAAGACATAATCTCATTTTTTGCTAAGTAACTGAAGCTCACAAGTCCAAGTAACTAATTCAAAATTATTCATTTTTTTAATGTCTTCATAAGCAAAATTTTATTCCAAGACCAGGCTGGCTGTAAGTGACAAAATCAGAACTTTACAGCACTATATTACATCACAACACATGACACCAGAGCTTCTCTTAAGAGAGAACCAGTGGGGTAAGGAAGAAGGCACAAAAAGATTGTGATGATGACAAGTTTTTAACAATGAGTTAAATCTATAGCCTCCCTATATAAAATTAACTTGTTTTTCACATTTCACTTTTCCTATCTTACTAAAGTCTCAAAGTTCTATTTACCTTCCTAAAAGATTTTCTGTTAATTCCTTTTTCCTCACATAATTATTAAGTTATACTTAATCATCAAAATTATATTCCATATCACATTTTACCTGCTACCTTTCCTCATACCTATAAATCAATTCGTGCTTTAAAAATTATGTGATTTTATAAATATAGTTCCCTTATTTTGCCTTAATGAATGTGTTTTATTATTCTTTTCAGTTCTCCAGTATTCTCTGAAATGGCTTCTGTTCAATTTTATCCAGTCTGAAAATAACCTATTGTCCCCATGCTGCTGATATTCCCACTGGACTCACATGAGAAAAGGACCAGAAGTTTCTCTGTAAAAATACTTGAAACAAGCAATCAGTCAACATTAGCTGACATTCAAGATTTAAAAAGCAAAGTTAACTTGCTACCTATTGTCATTACTGAGCTCATATTTAGAATGACCTATAAACCCCCTTTGATTAATGACAATTCACTGCACTTCTCTGAATATGTTTCCTCATCTGTAAGAAAGTTGGTCTCGATCTTTAGAATTCAAGATTTAAAGAGTTGTTGAGTCTGGGGATTTAAAAGTAAGTTTATTTACCCTAATCATTGATGTATTATTTTAATGCATATATTTGCACCTTGTCTACCCACTGTACTTTGAGGTAAGAACCATGTCCTATATAATTTTATACCCTTACCAGTTTTAATATGGTCCAATGCAAATACAGGCAAGTTTCACTTGGTCTTCTAACTAAAAGTGTTAAATTGTTGGCTTTAGCAGAAGGCTCTTCAAATTTCCCTATGTGCAATTCAACAAGTCACTACAATTTTGAACCAGATTCTGAGTAGGTAACACTGTAAAACTGTGGTGAGAATCCAAGATATGTTATTGTATCTTATGATCAATATTCAGCATAACTGCCATCTGCAAAAGAAATGGTAATTAACTCGGAAAGGGAAAAAGGCTCTAAACCTTGCTTTTTGCCACAGTCTTCCATAACCCTTATATATAATCTCTGACTGATTAACTAAAAACCAGACCTTAGAATGCCATCAACTCCCCAGATCAAAGCTCTGGGAGGAGGGAGGGATGTGACATAGATGTGTATTTAGTTTTTGATTTATCATAGTAGGTCTTTCTCTAAAAATTAAGACATTTGCCAAATTTGTTTTCAGATGAAGTCAAAGGCAATTTCCTAGTAGAGTAAAATTTGAAGAAATATATTTTTTTAACACAGATACAGGCTTTTGTAAATGTTTCCAGTCAACTTGTAATAATGTCAACATTAGCTCAAATTTAGATTGAAAACTATTACCCTTCTCAGTAGTTTGAGCAGATGCCTGGGCCTTGATAAAAATCACTAAACTGTGTTTAAAATATATGTGTATCTGTAAAATTCAATACAGACACAGCTGACAAAAATCACTTAACTGTGCATAGAGCAATACAAGAACTAAAAGGTTATGGGAACCTTAAAAGTCACATGTAATCATCACATCTGCATGCAGTTAAATACATAGACTCCAGTTTCAGAAATCCTGAGCTTACCAAAAACTTTTACAACTAAATTTGGGTTATTTGGGGTGGGGGTGAAAGAGATGCAAAAGGAGAGTAAACAGCCTCTTACAGCCCCTATTTTGACTAAATCTGCAGCTGTAATTACAGCTGTTCTGAAGCTTTTCTTGGAACTGCCCAATTACATTTAAATAATAACCAAAAGTAGGTTTAATGAACAGAAGAATTTGATAGGAAGACTTCTTCATAGTTAAAAGCTATTTTTGACTATATAATTAATATTTTATTATTTTTGCCCTGCAACTAATAGATTAAGAATTGTTATATAAATGCAAGAAGCTTTTTCTTCCTTGGGTTTTGGAGTTTTTAATGTTTTTTTGAAAAGAAAGTACACTGAATTTCTTTGATATTTGTGCAAAAACTTGCATGTAAGTTTCTTCTCCCTTGCCATGCCATCTGTTTTACTATGAAACAAGTCTATGACCCACATGACACGTGTGTGATACCAATAAACAAAACATAGAATCCTTTTTAATGTAATTCCAAATACATTTTCTAATGATGCATTTTACTCAAAAAAAGTTACAACATCAATCAACACAAATGAAGCTATACATATTTTAAGACTCATTTTTATGTTATATTTTAAATATGATCAACAGCTAATTTCCTGGACAATTATTCAAATAGGGAACTATTTTTTTAATCACAAATCTATAGAACTTTTTAAGTAACTGATCTGTCCATTTATAAAAACATTCTCAATGGCTGAAATTTTTTTAATTGCATGTTATGTTTTATCCCTGGATAGCAGAGATTCCTATAAAAACATCAATACTTTTAGGGAGAAATAAAAAAGGCTAATAAAGAAGCCTTTCAGGTTCCCTAAGATTTAATATACGGAGACTAAAAGAGATACGTCCCAGAAAATTAGAGAAAGCTAGGATACTGAACACTTGCTTCATATTCACCATTGTTACAGGTGGAGGAGAATGAGGTTAGGGAACAAAGTAACATGTTACAAAGAAAAGGTTCTTGCCAGTGACCGTTTAGTGTTAGATAAATCTGTTCTCTAACTTCCTCTGGCTATCAAAAAGAAAAAGCAACATTATTGAATTTTTCATGATAATTTGCTGAACAACAAAAAATCATAACTTTCTAATCATTGATGGAAAAATACTTAATACTACATGACAATACTAAAATATTGACTATATCTGACACATTTACCATGAGAGCCTCATGTAACTAATCAAATATATTTTCCATAGTTATAGTCAGTATATCCATGTAGAAATAGTAAACATATTATTCTTCAGGTTGTTTTTTTTCTATTCAAGTTGGTTCAAAAAGTACAAGGTCGATGGTGAACTTGATTAGGAAGGAATAGGAAACTCACCTCTTTTTCTGTACTCTGAAAAATTGGAAAGAAATGCCCCAATAATCCTAAATATGGTGGCCAAATATTCACACTTTCCTGAATAGGCCTATGTCTTCTATGGATGCTAACCAACACAGTCTGGTATTTAAATTAAAAGCTAAGCAAGCATTACAAGAGGAACACAAGGAGCCACAAAGCAAGAGGCAAACTAGCAGATACTAAGAAGATTTACATATTTAAAGAGGATAAAGATAATTTAATTTCAAAGCATAGATTATATTCACAGGAAATTGGCTCACCTGTAGTCAAAATGTACCTCATAAAGACAAAGAAATCACATGGAGCACAGAAAACAATTCACCAAACTCAAGAATGAACAGCGTTAAGCAGCAGCTGCTAGAAACCAGTAGTGCATTAAAAAGGTAGAAGAGAATAGCTGATCCTTTCAGTCACAAAACTGAGCTCCCTGAAAAGCACAGGCAGTCTTTGAAAGGTTGGGTGCATACACCGAAGCCTGCAAACCAACTATCAAAAATGATCTCATTTGACTTCTACTAGGATCATCACAGAAGGATGAAGCGAAATGAAAAAAGGCAATTGCAATTTAAGTTGAAGATGTGTCATCAACTAAAATAGCTGCTGCAAAACCCTATTCAAATCTCCCTTTCAGCCATATGTCTACTTTGAAGCTTTTCATTATCATATATTACTGTTTCCTCTACTACAGAGCACCTACATAACAGGATCCAAGACACACTGCAGGCTGGGTGAGGTAGCTCACGCCCCTAATCTCAGCACTTTGGGAGGCAGAGGTGGGAGGACTGCTTGAGGCCAGGAGTTTCAGACCAGTCTGGGCAACATAGCAAGACCCATGTCTAAAAAAAATTTTTAGCCAGACGTGGTGGCACACACTTGTAGTCCTAGCTACTCAGGAGGCTTAGACAGGAAGATCACTTGAGCTCAGAAATTCAAGGCTGCAGTGAGTTATGATCACACCACTGTACTCCAGCCTGGGCAACAGAGCAAGACCCTGTCTCTGAAATAAACAAAGAAAAAACTGCACAAAGAATGCAAGGAGCAAAGACTGAGAGAAATTTCCCACACCACAAAACACTAACTCCTTGATCTCTGAAATTTCACAAAGACAGCGCCTTCCAAAATCAAGAGCTGGGAATCTAAAATCATGAGCAAGATAATGGGCCCTTCTATTTTGGGGGGCTGGAACTGGGGGAGACAAGAAGAAAGGCCGCAAGAGCCAATGACAAAAAAATCTACTGTGAAGACACTAAAAACTGAGTTTTTTTTTTTTTTTTTTTTTGAGACGGAGTCTCACTCTGCTGCTCATGCTGGAGTGTGCAGTGGCACAATCTCTGCTCACTGCAACCTCTGCCTCCCGGGTTCAAGTGATTCTCCTGCCTCAGCCTCCCGAGTAGCTTGGATTACAGGCACCCACCACCTCACCTGGCTAATTTTTGTATTTTTAGTAGAGACGGGGTCTCACCATGTTGGCCAGGCTGATCTCGAACTCCTGATCTCAAGTGATCTGCCTGCCTGGCCTCCCAAAGTGCTGGGATTACAGGCGTGAGCCACCATGCCCAGCCCCAACATTCTTAATAAAATTCAAATTGCCCAATAATTGCTAATGTACATGATCAATTCTCCCCTCCTCTGAGAGCTATCCTTGACTAACTACTCCTCAAACTGAACTTTGCCTGACCCCTACTGTCAAAGCCCTATAAAAAAATTCCACCATCCTTCTCCAAGTTAGAACTCTCCTTCAGGGCCTTATCATGCCCACTATTTTCTAACATAATCTTATGCTAATAGAGTCTAACTGTGCTCTGGCTGATTTTCATCTAAACTATGTAATGTTCCAGAAGGGCAACAGGGCAGGAATTTGCTTCATTTTTCCTTGATGGGTTCCAAGGTAACTGTAAGCACTGCTTCTATGTCCATATAATCACTAGGGAAATATGCAATAGAAAAGTAAAGCTTTCTCTGGTCATTTCTTTAAAATAATAAAGACAAACACTTATTAAGCACACAAACATACTGCTATATACTTCTATGTAATTGATTCTATTTAAGGCTCACTACAACCCTCGGGATAAATATGCTTATCCTCATTTTACACATGCAAAATCAGAAATTTAGTTTAAAAAACTTACCCAGTTAGCAAGTGGTAAATAGAGGATTTAAATCCAATTATCCCAAATCAACTCTTTCTATTCAAGCAAAGCCATAAGCTACACTGCCCTAGCTCCAGCTACCATCTATAAGAAACAAATGCATTCTTCTGAGCCCCCTCTATCTTGTTAGGTCTACTTATTTGCTTTTTTCAATATTTCAGTAAGCCTCCATGACTTAAAGACTTCTTCATGTAATTCATCTCTTATTTCCACCTCTTCCTATATGTTCACCAATAAGGCTTAAGTATTCTATAGCTGTCTCCCATCCAGTAATGCCAAGCTTTACAGTTAAAACAATTGTACTCCTAACAGATTTCATCACAATGCGTTCTCTAAACATTTCTAAGTATTTTTCTGTATTCTTCACATCAGTTCAATCAGACTCCACTAGTATGTACTGTAGTTTATTTTAACCAACTGAAAATAATATTGGAAAAAAATACCTTTTAAAACGTAGGTATTATTATATATGCAGAATAATTGGGGGGATTTTTTAGAAAGAAAATTGCCAATACAATTTGTATATAATAGATACTTGCATTAGCTAGTGCTAAAACATAAAGAAATTGTAATTTTCAAACCAGAATTATTTTTACTACAGAAAATAATGGGAAAAAAAGTTTTAAAAAATGGAAAATAATGGGGTTAAAAATATGCTATATATGGAGGTCAGGATGCAGTAACAACCAGGTTTGTCCTCTCACTTAAAAGAAAAACGGACATAATATAGAAAACAACATTTTTCAAGAAACTGGACATTAAGCAACAAAGAACAGCGATTCTAGAGAGACAGGAAACAAGCAATACCCTTCAATTGTCCCAGCTTACAACCTTTGGAGACTTTTCAGGCTAAGGCCCAGGGAAGAGAAAGAAATCCAAGGGGAGCTAGGTGCGTGGATAAACTAACTTGAGTTGATGAAACAGAAGAGCTTAGAGTCCATGAAGACAAAGGTAGCTAGCCCCGGGAAAGTAGCAGGGTGGCTACGCAGAGAACAAAACCCAGAAATCTGCAGCAGGGCCTCTCAAATATTCAGCACAGTACTGATTAGCTCAAAGTGTGAGACAACTACTGGAGGCTGGGGAAAAAAACATCTGAAAGAATTTGAGAGAATAGTGATGGATAATCATGCAGACTTAGGAATATTGCCTGTTACTACCAGCCAAACTGGTAAAGCTCTTAATTCACAGAGGACATTGAGTGGAGTGCTTAAGAAGGTCTTGCCTCAGTAGTGAGGAATAACTAGCCCTGGATTGAGCATTGCTCCAGGCCTCTTAAAAAAATCATAAAAGCAAGCCTCAAATTATCTCTAAATAACTACATATCCGGAACAAAATTCAACAGTATTTCTAATAATAAAAGAATATCTAACACTCAAAAAAGGTAAAATTCACAATGTCTGTCAGCTGAAGATTACCAGATATGCAAAGAGGCATGAAAACATGAATAAAGCAATCAATTGACTGAAACCAACCCAGATGTTAGCAAACAAGGACATTAAAAATTATTATTATTTTTTTTAATAGAGACGAAGTATTACTATGTTGGCCAGGGTAGTCCTGAATACCTGGGCTCAAGCAATTCTCCCACCTCAGACTCCCAAAGTGCTGGAATTACAGGCATGAGCCACCACGCCTAGTCTAAAAGTTATTCTAAATGCATTTCATATAGCCAAAACATTAAGAGACATGGAAGATATAAAAAAGATCTAAATCAAAACTCTAAAGATGAAAACTATAATATCTAACATAAAAAACTACATAGAATTAACAGATTAGACACCGTAGAAGAAAAAAATCCATGAACTTGGAAAAATACCAATAAAGACGATCCAAAAATACAACACAAAAAGAGAAAAGAACACAAAAAGAATATAAAGAGCATCAGTGAACTGTGGGGCAACATCAAGAAGCCAAATATACATCATAACCAAGTGGGCTTATTTCAGAAACATACAGTTGGATTAACCTTTAAAAATCAAGCAATGTAATCCACCATATTAACAAATTTTTTTATTTTTTTGAGACAGGGCCTCACCCTGTCACCCAGGCTGGAGTGCAGTGGCATGATCTTGGCTCCCTGAAGCCTCTACCACCCAAGTTCAAGCAATCTTTGCACCTCAGCCTCCCGAGTAACTGGGACTACAGGTGTGTGCCACCATGTCTGGCTAATAAAAAACTTTAAAAAAAACAAACATGGGATCATTTCAACACATTAAAAAAAACTGACAAAATTCAAAATCCATTCCTAATTTTCTTTTACACTTTACCCAAACTAGGAATGGAAAAAAACTTCCTCAGCCCAGTAAAGTGCATCCTGAAAAATCTACAACATCATACTTAATTGTGAGAGAATAGATGCTTTCCCCCTAAGATTAGAAACAAGACTAAGATGTCTGCTCTTTTTCTATTCAACATTATATCAGAGGTTTTAGCCAGTGAAATCAGGCAAGAAAAAGAAATAAAAGGATTGTCTTTTTATTAGAATGGAAGAAATAAAGCTCTCTTTATTCACAAAAGACATGCTTTGTCTATGCAGAAAAGCCAATGTAATCTACAAAAAAAGCTACCAGAATGAGTACAGCAGGTTTTCAGGATACAATGCCACTATACAAAAATCAATTGCATTCTTATACATTAGTAATGAACAATTAAAAATTGTATGTTATTGGCCGGGTGTGGTGGCTCACGCCTTTAATCCCAGCACTTTGGGAGGCCGAGGAGGGCAGATACTTGAGGTCAGGAGTTCGAGACCAGCCTGGCCAAGATGGTGAAATCCCATCCCTATTAAAAATACAAAAATTAGCTGGGTGTGGTAGCTGAGCAATCTCAGCTACTCAGGAGGCTGAGTCAGAAGAATCACTTGAAACCAGAAGGTGAAGGTTGCAGTGAGCTGATATCATGCCACCACACTCCAGCCTGGGTGACAGTTACTGACCACACTTGGCCAATAACTCTGTCTCAAAAAAAAAAAATTGATATGTTATTTAAATATTTATAAAAGCATCAAAAAATATAAAATACTTAAAGATCAACCTAATAAAATATGGGTAAGATCAGTACATTGAAAACAATAAAATACTGCTGAAAGAAATTAAACATCCAAATAAATGGAGACATTTTATTCATGAGTCAGAAGACTTGATATCGTTAAGATGTCAACTGTCCCTCAAATTCATCTATAGATTCGATGCAATTCCAATCAAATATTTACATACTGTTTCTTAAATTCATATGGAAATGTAAAGCCATTCCGGAGAGAAAAGCCACACAGTAATTTGAAAAGTGAAAGCTTAATAAAAAGGATCACTAACTATTTAACATGGGGTTGGAGAAACAGCTAATTAACTAATGAGAAATAAAGAGAACTCTTAAGAGTAGCCAATGCTCCCTAGGCTGACACAGAACACCAAGGCAAGAGCTTCCTCCGACCCTAAACCATCCCAGGGCTGAGATCCAGACCTTGTTGGAGAGAACACAGTCCTCTCACTGAATAGCACGGAAGTTGCTGTAGTGCTGCACCAGCAGAACTTACTGGAAGTCTACCTTGTGGAACTTGCCAGAAATCCATTCTTTAGGGTGCTAGTAAAATCTCTTCACACAGAAGTGTCCCACCAAAGATACTCTGTTACAAATCCAACTGAGGGGGAAGTAAAAGAAGTTGCTGGCCTCGGGTCACTGGTTGCTGGGTATTGCTGCCCTCTGAGCACTGCAGAAGCCTGATAATGGTGAAAACATGCATCCTACAGAAACTGTAGAGTGGGAAAGCCAATGTGGGTTGACACTGGAGAAGCTGAGTGTGTTGCTACAGTCCACTAAGCAAGTACACAGAAACGAACAAGCAAAACTTCTCTGCAGTGTTTCTCCAGCACTCTGTACTGGCAAAACTTAACATTGTCAGCTGACAAAAGAAAAATATTTAAAGGGCCTGATCTATTTTCACAGAGCAGGCAAAAAGGATGCATTTGGAGCTGAGAGGCAACAGATTGGTAACCAGCACAATAGCCAAAATTGCTCTGAAAAGGAACAAGCAGTTGTATGGGTTAACGTGACCCGATTTCATGACTTATAAAGCCATAATAGTCAGCATGGTAGTGGCATCAAGAAAGACAAAGAAATCACAGCACAGAAACAATATCCTGGAGTTGTGATCCATTTAGAAATTGATTTTCACAAAGGCTTAATTGGAAAAGTTGGCTTTATGTCTATCCTGAGCTACTGTTTAGTTGGTTATAGAGCAAAATTACATTCAGCTTCTTCTTGTCATGTAAGAGGAATTTGGAGGGTGTTGCTTAAAATTTTATTCCACCTGTACATTTGTCACTTTAAAATTAAAACTGAGCTGGTATGAGAGACAAAAAAAAAAGAAAGACAAAGAGGTCAGTGGAACAAAATAAGAGTCAGAAATAAACCCACGCGTATACAGTCAAATGATTTTTGACAAAAATCAAAAGGACACAAACCACTTCAGTAAATGATGCTGAAATAACTGCATGTCTCTACCCCCCAAAAAAGAATTTCTATCCAATTTTTATCCCATATAAAAAAATTAACTCAAAATGCATCATAGGTCTAAATACAAAACCATAAAACTTCCAGGAGAGAACTTCTATGCCCTTGGATTAGGCAAATATATCTTAGATACATAAACAAAAATAGAATCCATATGAGAACAAACTGATAGATAAACACAATCCATATGAGAACAAACAAATTTCATCATAATTTAAAATGTGTGCTCTTCAAAAGACACTATTAAGAGAAAGAAAAGACAAGCAACAGTCCAGGAAAAATACATCTGCGAAGCACGTATCTTATAAACAACTTTGATCAAGAATATAAACCGCTCTCAAAACTCAATAATAAGAAAACAAACAACCCAATTTAAATAATGGCCAAAATATTTGAACAGATATTTTACCAAAGAAAATATACAAAGGATAAATAAACACAGGAATGGACAGCCCCTGCCCAAAAGTATATACTAGAAGTTCCATTTTAAAAAAAAACTTTAGAAAAGGCACTAAATTTATAGTGACCAAAAGCAATTCAGGATTTTCCTGGAGACAAGGAAGGATGGGTAGTAGTGGGGGAAAAGATTACAAGGGGGCAAGAAGAAATCTGTGGAGGTAATGAGTATGGATTCACAGATGTATACATATGTCAAAACTAATCAAATTGTTCATTTCAGATGTGTGCAGTATTTTTTATGCCAATCACACCTCAGCAAAGCTGTTTTAAAAAAAAATCACACTCCATTAACCCACTAGAATACAAACTATAAGGAAATCGATCAGAAAAAAAAAAGTATATGTTACGGAATTATAAATCACTTAAAAAGGAGTTCACGTGATTAGCATCTTTAAAAAGTATCCCTAAAACTCAACAACAAAAAATCTGACTCAACAGTGGGCAAAGGACTTAAATAGGTATTTCTCCAAAGAAAATATGCAAATGAACAGTAAGCATAAGAAAAGATGCTCAACATCACTTATCATTTCAAAAATGCAAATCAAAACCACAATGAGATACCACTTCACACCCATTAAGATGATGATGATTATAAAAAAAAACCAGCAGAAAATAAGTGTTGGTAAGAATGTGCTGAAATTAGAACCCTGTGCAGTGCTGATGGAAATGTAAAATGGTGTAGCCACTGTGGAAAACAGTATGATGTCTCCTCAAAAAATTGAAAAAAGAATTAAAGAGGCTGAAAACGATGGTCATGCCTATAATTCTAGCACTTTGGGAGGCCAAGGCAGGCAGATCACTTGAGGTTAGCAGTTCGAGACCAGCCTAGCCAACATGGTGAAACCCCATCTCTACTAAAAATACAAAAAAAAATTAGCCAGTGTGGTGGTACACGCCTGTAGTCCCAGCTACTTGGAAGGCTGAGGTAGGAGAATCATTTGAACCCAGAAGGCAGTGGTTGCAGTGAGCCGAGATAGTACCACTACGCTCCAGCCTGAGTGAGTGAGACTCCATTTAAAAAAAAAAAATAGAATTACAGTATGATACCAGTGATTCCACTTCTGGATACATACCCAGAAGAATCAAAAGTGGTGTCTGAAAAAGTTATTTGTGCCAGGCACCGTGGCTGACACCTGTAATCCCAATACTTTGGGAGGCCAAGGTAGGCAGATCCCTTGAGCCCAGGAGATTGAAACCAGCCTGGGCAACATGATGAAACCTGTCTCTACAAAAAATACAAAAATTAGCTGGGCATGATGGAGTGTACCTGTAGTTCCAGCTACTCTGGTGGCTGAGGTGGGAGGATCACCTAAGCCTGGGGAGGTTGAGGCTGCAGTGAGCTATTAAGATGTTCATGCCACTGCACTCCAGCCTGGGTGACAGAGTGAGACCCTGTCTTTAAAAAAAAAAAAAAAAAAAAAAAAAATCACAGTTCATTTCTGCAGTTTGCAACAGTTTTACTACTACCAAGATGGATGTTATCATAATGATGGGATAGAAAGGGCCGATTCAGATAAAAAAGCAATCAGTCAATAAGCACTTCTAAAGCTCCTAATTAGGGCCAGATACTATGAGGCACTAGGGACACAAAGATAAAGAATCCCTATTATTAAGGGATTTCTGTTCTAATCACATTTACCCATAGTCAAGAAATCCAAACATGTGGTCATTAATGGCATCATTTCAAACTGATTCCAATGCCACCCAGAACCAATCATAGTAAGAAGTTTCCAAAGGATAGCAGCAAAATATTTGGTTTCTTCATGTAAGAAAATTTTAAATCCAATTCCCCCATTCTCAAACTGAAAAGAACCATTTCTCAAAGATAACATTAATGAGACAATAGATAAAAAATATGAATTAAAAAAACCTTGCAGATCTATGATACATTTAACATCTTGCTCATGTTTGCAACAGGCATAGTAATCAAAATTACCCCACCTTTCTGGACACCAATTCTTGTTTTTAGTCCTTATCTTCTAGCCCCATAATTCAACTTATTGCTGGTCAAAATAGAATCTTCATATGTGGAAGAACAGAGATCAAAAACAAGCAAAGAAGGAAAAACAGGAGGGGAGGGGGATAGAAGGGGAAGAAAGAGGGAGAGCAGGGGAAAGGGAGGACAGGACGGGAGAAAGTGGAAGTAGGAGAAGGAGAAAGGAAAGAAGAAAGGGAAGGAGGGAGGAAGAAATGCAGACATCAGTAAATTATGGAAAATGCTGAATCTCACTCATAATCAAAGAGATCCCAACAAACTAAGAGATCCTTTCCACCAACTGAGAAATACTAAAAGCTCAAGAATACCCAGTGTTAGAGAAAATGTGAAGAAAGGTAACCGTGTAAATTGGTACAACCTTTCTGCAGGGGATTTGTTTCTATGAATCAACAACCTAAAAAATAATTAAATCATTTGGGCCAACCATTCTATCTGAAGGAGTTAATGTTAAGGAAAAAGTAGATTAAATTGTTTGCATACATTTACATACATGTATGGATATAGACGCCATGTATTAATATATGCCATAGACATCTGTAGTTTTTTCAAAGCTTCTCACAGAATTCTTATGATAATCTACTTTTGGAACCATGTCCCAGGGAATGAATGTATGTATTGAAGGAACTAACATTTAGTTAGCAACTTTTGTGAGCCTGGCATTATACTGACACATACATCATCTTGTCTAACCAAAACACATTAAAAGCTAAAGGGGATGTTTTAAAAAGTATTCCTAAAATACTGATAACCAAAGCCTAACAGGGAATTTTCACTGTTATATTCATACAATCAATTAACAGAATTTATGTTCCTTTGTTGTTTAAAGCAAAAACAGACAAAAGAGTTTATCTGTGCAAAGAATGATTCATCAATTAGGCAGCACTCTGAACCATAAAAGGTTTGAAGAGCTTCATTCACAGCAGTGTGGGCTGTAAGCTTTATAGGCTGAACACGGAAGACAAAGAAAACATATCTCATTGGTCAGAGTGGAAAGACACTAGTTAGAGATTACTTAGGTGGTTTCTAGTTGGCAAAATATCTAGTTTCCTTTTACTTTCTAAGTTGGGCTTTGGTTTGCTTAGACAGGAACTTAAACAGCTAGAGCCACCCAGCCTAGTAGCCTCCCAACTAAAAATTTAACACTGCAAAGACAATTTCTAGTTACCATCTCAAAATTTCCCATTAATTTCTCTCACAAAAATAGGAGCTATCCCCAAATTAGAAAAAAAAATCACACTTAAGAATTCAGAATATCAAGTAAAAACTAATGGGAATAGGGAGTTTTTCCTATTGGGGATATTTGTGTTATACTTACCAGTTGAGCATCTCAAATCCACAAATCCAAAATGCTCCAGTGAGCATTTCTTCAGAGTGTCACGTCGGTTTCAGATTTTGGAACGTTTTGGATTTCAGATTTGGGATGCCTGACCTGTATATATAGGGTTCAGTACTATCCATGGTTTCAGGTATCCACTGGGGGGCCTTGGGGACTCCTGTGTATCAAATTCCCTCAAGTCAGCAACTCAGAACCTAAAGAACAAGAATACTATTGTTCTCAAAACCTCAAAGATAGATACTATCTGGGGTAGAGGGGGGAACGCTCTCTTTAAAGAAGAGTATGTCCAAGAAGAAAGACAAAGAAAAATCAATTAAATGACTATAATGGAGTTTACTTAGAGGGCTCTCAACATTTTACAGACCTGGTTCTAGAAGCTAGAATCTTCTGATTAAAGAGTTTATAACAGATACAATCTAGACTTGGCTATATTAGTTTCTGACTTTTCTGCTGCCTTCACTGATGCCTCGTAACGTTTAAACCATGATGCTTTTTACACCTAGAACTCCTTTGAGGGGGGTAAAAAAAAAAAAAGACATCACAAACCCTTAGTCATCTTTCCCTACAATTTGGTTCTATAGTTCAGATTCCTCTGACTTGACACCAAATGAGACAAACTTACCCAGGCTAGAAGATATGAGAAAAGTTCTCTCATCAACTCTTGCTATATGATTTGCTCTTAGGCAAATCTAACCCGTGCCAGAATTTAGAAGCTGACCAACAGCTTATTTCCTCTGTACTACTGTTTAACAATATTAGGGTTTTTCAAAAAAAAAATTAGCAAAGCTGTAGTCACTTGATTAGCTGCAGGTCAGATAGACACACCCAGAACAGGTCATCCTATAGGAAATCTCCTCTATATAGAAATATCTGTATAAAAATAGAATTGACTGACTTAGGTATTTTGCTAAAGTTTAAACAATGCAAAAATATATGCTCAATGAATAAATGACTAATCAAAAAGGTGCTCCTGAGCATCTAGTCTTAGCTCAAGGTGGCCCCAAGGTATTCATAGTCTCCAACAACTATATGTTTGAAGTCAGAGACCTAGGGAACTCTTATTTAGTTAACAATAGTAATAATTAACATTTATTGAGCCATTACTTCATGCCAGGAACTGTGCTAAAGACTCTGCATTTTTTATCCATATTTTACAGATGTGGAAAATTAGCATCGAAGTTACTATTCAAGGTTGCACAGATCTTAAGTGACCAAGTCAGGAGTCAGACCACACACCTGCTTTACTCCACAGCTTATGTGCTCTCTAGGGCAATTCCAGAATTCAAACAAACACCCTGATGGCCATAACTGTCCACAGAAATACTCAGAATCTTCAAGAGTGCCAAAAAAGCTTATATTTAAGTAGAGAAAAACTTTACATTTAGGTTGACTTACATTTGGAATAAATCTAATTCTAAAAATTCAATCATCCAGTATATAATTTACAGTGAAAATTTCCTAATGGTAGCTTAGAAGTTGCTGAAGTTTATGCATAAAGAATTAAGGGATAAAGATATTTAGAAGAGCTTAGTCCCATATAATGTATTCAGACCAGAGCCATTTCTGAAATGAGTAAGGTTCCAAGATCTCAGTATTACTGGGCAGAGACTTCCACTATCAGATCTATTTCTATGCTTGAGCCCAGAAGTTTAGAGATTGCAGTGAGCTATGATAGCGCCACTGTACTCCAGCCTGGGAGACCTACAGCAAAACCCTGTCGCCAAAAAAAAAAAAAAAAAAAAAAAAAAAAAAAAAATCTACTTCTTTAACTCTACCACTTGAACAAAGAATTCAAGGATCCTCTCCTTTGTGAGACCTTTCCTGACCCTCTAGACACAATTCATTACTCCTTTCTGTGTGCTACTACTGACTTTTACACCTACTTCAGTTGTACTTAACACACTAAGCAAAATTGAGTTTCACACAGCTCAAAACATTTCACACATTAACAGACTGACATCCTCACACTAACTTCAGAACATCAAATTCAATCTTTTAGATATCACCTTATTAACAATGATTTTGAGTTACTGCATGAAGCTTTGTCATTGCACAATGCTAGGAAATTGGAAGAAGAGGTATGAAGCCAGGCCTCCCTGAAGTTTAGGGGGACATGACACTATCCTGATCTATGATGAAAAAATAATAATTCTTCCTACCCCATCCTCCAGTCCTGCTCTGGACAAACCACTAGTCACATATACTTGGCAGCTGGGAGAGGGAAAAAGATGAGAGTGAAGGAGTAATTGGAGTTGTAGTTCTAATATCCTATAGTGTAGGTGCTCTCTTATCTCATCTCTTACCCTTGACTTATCACCAAGTCTCTGATTTCTCTCTTGGGACTGTGCAGGCCTACAAGTATTGCTGGGTTCTAAGCAGAAATCCTAGGTGATCAAACAACTAAAAGGCACCCATTAAGCACCAAGCTCTTACTACCACAGCAGGGTGAGAAAGACCCTTTCCCTCTCAACTTCCTATACCTACAATCCCAGTAGCAGGCCTCAAATTCCAGAGGTTGCCACCTCACCCCCTACAAGGAGGTTGGGCCCAAGACTGATTTCCTCAGCCCCAAATATGCCTAGAAATCCCATCCTTACACTTTTTGCCCCCCAAGACAAGGTCTCACTCTGTTGCGGAGGCTGGATTGCAGTGGCTCTACCATATAGAGCCTGAGCTCTATATGGTAGAGCTCAGCCTCACTGCAGCCTCACTGCAGCCTCAAATACCTGAGCTCAAGCGATCCTCTGCCTCAGCCTCCTAAGTACCTAGGACTACATGCACACACCACCATGCTTGGCTAATTTTTTTAAATTTTTTGGTAGAGACAGGGTCTCACTATGTTGCCCAGGCTGGTCTCAAAATCCTGGCCTCAAGCAATGCTCTGCCTCTACCTTCAAAAGTGCTGGGATTACAGGCATCATCCTGACACTTTTAATGTTATGCAGCAACTAAGATTTCTAATTCCAAAGGAGATAACATGCCCAGGAACTAGAATTGAGTATTTTATAATAATAAATTTTAGCTCTGTGAAATGACTCTCCATACAAACACCCAAATACCTCCTACGCCTATGACATGTGGAATTTTTATTTTCAATCACATTTTGGGAGACATGTTATTATAGAGGAAATCAGGGGACTTCCTGTACTGTAATTATTAACTTATATTTCTAGTTGACCTTCTAAATTGTCAGTTTCCTAAAGGCAGGGTCGTTATCATTTTGTATTCCAAATTCATAGTAGTTGTTAACTACGCTTGTTGAGGAAAAAGCGAGACAAGATTGGGGGAAAGACTGGGAACAAGATACAAAGAAATATGAGATCATCCTTGTATGCATAACTTTAGATTCCATACTAGTAGATATTCTCAAGTGATATTTACTTTCCCAAAAAAATCCTGTCTTCCAGCCAGGTGCGGTGGCTCACACCTATAATCCCAACACTTTGGAAGGCCGAGGCAGGAGGACTGCTTGAGCTCAGAAGTTCCAGACCAGCCTGGCAATACAGCAAAATAAAAATAAACAATAAATCTTATCTTCCCTGAACAAATCCACAAAAATGAAGGATGAATATCAGTTGAGAAATTTCACTACTTTTACAATAAAATGAACTGTGTAGTATTTTCTTCTCTCAGGCTCACCAAGGTATTAGGAGAAAGATGGTTATTTTTCAATCTTGGCAAATAACTTGAAGATGACAAGAGTAAAAAAGCCACATGGATTTATAAAATCTCTAAGAAATAATAAGGCTAGAAGATTAGGTACAACAGAAGATCTTTTTTAATTTTTTATTTATTTATTTATTTTTGAGACAGAGTTTTGCTCTTAGAGTGCAGTGGCACAATCTCGGCTCACTGCAACCTCTGCCTCCCAGGTTCAAGCGATTCGCCCAGCCCCATGAGTAGCTGGGATTACAGGTGGGAGCCAGCACGCCTGGCTTTTTTTTTTTTTTTTCAGTAGAGACAGGTTTTCACCATGTTGGTCAGGCTGGTCCCGAACTCCTGACCTCAAGTGATCCGCCCGCCTCAGCCTCCCAAAGTGCTGGGATTACAGGCGTGAACCAACCTGCCTGGCCTCTTTTTTTTTAAATATCTTTTTTATTTCAATAGCTTTTGGAGTACAAGTGGTTTTGGGTTACATGGATGAAATGTATAGTGGTGAAGTCTGAGATTTTACTACACCCATCACCAAAGTAGCATACATTGTACCCAATATATCGTTTTTTATCCCTTATCTTCTTCCTATTCTCCCCGCGTCTCAGTCTCCAAAGTCTATTTTACTATTCTGTATGCCTTTGCGTACCCATGACTTAGCTCCCGCTTGTGAGAACATATGGTATTCAGTTTTGTATTCCTGAGTTACTTCACTTAGAATAATGGCCTACAGCTCCACCCAAATTGCTGCAAAAATGTTATTTCATTCTTCTTTATGGCTGAGTGGTATTACATGGTGTACATATACCTGTATAGAATAGAAATGCTTAAAACAATCCTCTAATAGCTTTTACAGATGAGCAAGTAGGGTCAGAATCATCAAATTCACCATCTCAGTGACACCAGAAGTTTCTAGAAGTCTCTAGTCATACTGATTTTCCACTTAAATTGCTGGACCCAATTCAGTTCTAAACATTAGTTTAGGGAGAAGTCAGAAGAATGCAGAGAAGTCTAATAATCCTGACAAAGATGCCAAATTAAGCCTACAAACATTAAATTGGTAAGGAAAAGTTCAATTTGTGAGTAAAATATTACAAGAATTAAACACAACATATTAAATTATTGGACTACAGTCAATTTACATCCTAAGTATGAGTGTCTAGAATACCAAGTTTGGCACATATAGGAGATCATTTTTATCACCTAGTCACAAAACTACAATTTTTGGGAATAAAACTGTGTAAACTGCCGTGGCAATGTAAGTCCAAAAGCATTGTTTTCTAATTATATAAGTAAGAAAAAATTTCTAATCCCGTTTTTCAAGATCCAATAAAACTTAATTAGTCCTGTGAAAGAGAACACAAAATGCTCCCCAAATGAAGGTGAGAGATAGAAAAGACAGACAAAAAGAGAAACAGAGAGAGAGACAGACTTCTGAAAACCCAAAGATATGGTACAAACATGGAAAAGCTAAATGTACAAAGATATTACAGCAATACGTACAATAAACTATCAGTCTGACCAACCTAACAGTACCTCACTCAATGAGAAAACATTGTTAGAAATGGGAAACATTTACACTGTTAACTGAAATAAGGCACAAATTTGAAAAGAAATTATTATTATAACTTTGTAAAAAAAATTGTGTATGAAAAAGGACTAAAAGGCACATATACCAACATGGTAACCACAGTTATGTTAAGATCATGGGACTGCATGTAATTCTTTTACATTCAATAATAATAATAAATAAAAGTTATAAATAAGTTGTCTAAATTATCTATAATGTGATCTTTTCAATGTAAAGTTTTCTAAAGAAAATAAAATTATATCTTACATTTAATTTACAACAATGTCTTTTTCTACTTCAATTTCTACTAAGATATTTGAGCACTAAATTCATTATATGAACTAAGTTTTTTACCATATCACAAAAAAAATAAGAATAAACATTACCTTATTCTGTGCTCATAAAAATAATTAGTGGGCAATCTACTAATTAAGAAATTCAATGTAAATGAGTCATCAAATTAATTGGTTCCATAAATCCAAAGTATCAGCATAGGGCTTTAATAACCATCCTCAGCATCATCAGTATACTTATCAGAAGTGCAATTAGTAAAGCCTGACATGACCCTACACCCAAAAAGGCTATAAAAATAAAGTTGTTTTTTTTTTTACAGTATAAGAATATAAAAATAAACCTTTGGCCATCAACATAGAAAACAAAGGCTGCTGTTGCCCTCAATCTATACTTGAAAACAGAATAGTAAATAGCCTGAGTCTATGCTATCACTTAGATGATTGTCCCTCCTGTTGAAATTTGATCTCAATGTTGGGGGTGGGGCCTAATGGGAGATGTTGTTGGGCATGGTGGGGAGGGGTCAGAACCCTCAAGAATAAATTAATGCTCTTCCTCAGGCATGCTTGAGGTCTCACTCTATTTGTTCCCCCAAGAGCTGGTTGTTAAAAAGAGCCAGGGCCCCTCCTCCCACCCTTTTCTCCTCTCTCATTTTGTGCACAAGCTGGCACCTCTTTGCCTTCTGCTATCAGTGGAAGTAGCCTAAGGCCCTCACTACAAGCCGATCCTGGTGCCATACTTCTTGTACAGCCTGCAGAACTGTGCGGTAAATCAAACTCTTTATAAATTACCTAGCCTCAGGTATTCCTACATAGCAACACAAAACAAGACAAGGCAGTCAATTCATCAATAATAAGAATCAGTCCTATGATCAACTTCCCTCTGGAGAAGTTTTTTAATCTTTCTTGCAAATTAGAATATATTATCCCCAAAATGTGCAGACCTGATGTCAGAAAGAGATAAAATTCTTAATGAACAATACTGCCAAATGAGATAAAGGATACTGTAATAAGTCTTTTGACTAGTTACAAAAGCATCAAAAATGGTCAAAAAATAACCTTAAGTACAGTTGTAAAGAGCTTGTAATTCATCACTCCCAACCTCACGACAAGAAAAAAAGCTGGGGGTAAAAAAAAAAAAACTGATAATCCAACTCTTCTTAGAGCCATCAGAGAATTGAGGTCAGAGGGCAAACTGCTGCTCTAAAACCTGGAGAGACAAGACAGGCAGATAGAGAATCACAGTGTGCAGGAAGCAGAAGTCCAGGAATACAAGCTCTCAACTGAAGCCAGCATCAGTAGGAACACTTGAAACAGTAATTGTGGACTAGCTTGAGAGTTAAAAACTGTAAGGGGACCAGTCTTACAGGGGTCCCCATACTTTCCTGAGTTTTACCTCCAGGAGCCCTACCAGGTTCTCATGGTAAAGATCTGAAAAAAAACCCCTCCTGCTTGCAGCAGGGGAAGAAGAAAAACCATTTTGAAATACGCCAGGAACTTTATTTCTCTTAAAAGGTATTCCAGAAAAGGAAACTATTTTACCAGAACCTAACCAACTGGCTTTTAGATTGCCTAACCTACTACGGTTTTACAGTGCCTAACCAACCGGAGGGAAGGGAAATACCCAACTCCAGCCCCATCTATCCTTTGACCGAGAAAAAGAGACAGTTACTCAACTCAGGCTCACAGTTGGTAGAGGGCAGAGGGATGAGGGGGAAAGTTCTATAGTCCTGAGATCTAATTACAGGACTATAGAACTTTCCCCCTCATCCCTCTACCCTTACCACCACATCAGTACAGCTCTTGTACAACACAGGATTACAACTTAAAAACCTGCAAGCCTCAGACCCCATTTAAGGATTCTTTACAAAAACCCAAAGACAACAGGGCAGATAAAAGCAAGGACAGTAGAAGAAATTTTAGCCTCTAATAGTGATGGCGGTGGCTTTCTGGTACATGGACGGCACAGGGAGAGGCGGACAGACCCCCTCCCTCAACAGCCCGCCGCCCTCTGTGCAGCACAGTCAAGCAGAGAGCAGACCGATGCAGAGCTGAGGCTGAGCTTCAGGGGCCTGAGGCAGGAAGTGGGAGCGGTGCCCACTTCAGGGACCAGCCAGTGACACAGCCACTGCGCCCACCCCACTGAGGGTGCCAGGTTCCTGGGCCTCAGGAGGAGGCTCTGTGCAGGGCTGCCCGGGGCTACATCCCCAGGGTCCACCCCACATCAGGCGACTGCTGAGCCTGCCACTCCCAACAGCCAGGCCGGACAGTTATCTGCTCTGCCTGGGCCACTGAAGCGCCAGGGCAACTGGGGTAGCTCCCGGCGATGTCACCCCTGCCCCGGATCCCAGCCCAGGTCCAGCAAGGATCTGGAGCCCCTGTCTCAGGCTGAAAGGGGGCGGAGCCAGGGCTGCATGCTCCACAGTGCCAGTGGGAGCCAGGAGCAGGCAGCAGCCCAAGCCACCCAAGCCTGGGTGGTAGACCCAGGCCTCCATGTGCTCTTGGGGACTGGAAACAGGCAGGAGCCCTGTCCCCCAACCCCATACAGCTGCAGCTACCCAAGTCAGGGTTGTGGACCCAGGCCTCCGTGTGCTCTTGGGGGCTCAGGAAGGCCCCCCTTGCCTTTGCAGGCTCGGAAATGCCTGTTCCCGCTGCCACTTCCCGCACCGGCTCCAATGTGGCAGGTTCTCAGAGTGGGGTTGGAGCCAAGCCTGGATATCATCACAGCCCAACAGGATATGCGCATGCTCAGGCCCTGCCGCCTAGGCCCCCTCTGAGGAAGCTGAGGTGGAGAGCTGCTCCATGCTGGCAGGCAGGTGCCCCTTGGCACAAGCAGCCTGGGAGCCATGGAAAGTGGCAGGAAGCAGACAGGCTCCTGGGTGGAAGGGGGCACGTCCCCAGATAGACCCCACCTTCAGGCCAGGGAGGGCCTGAACGTTGGGGACCGGGCTGCCAGTCCCGCAGACTGCAGTGGGGGCTTGTGGTGCCTTTTCCAGCCCACCCATGGCCACCGATGTACCAATTGACACACTTCCTCCCCACTGAGGTCCATAAAAGCCCCGAGATCAGCCAGAGCAGGGCAGAGGCCAGAGAGACAGCCAGATGACTAGCTGCAGAGAGGAGCTATCGTCTCTGCTGAGAGCTGGGAAGTCAATGGGGACCTGCCTGCAGAGAGGAGCCACTCACTCCAGGGCCTCCTCTCTGCTGAGAGCTGAACACTGGATGAGACAACCTGCCTATAGAGAGGGGCTGCCCTCTGCAGCTCTCCTCTGAGCTGTTCTAACACTCAGTAAAGCTTCTCTTTGTCTTGCTCACCCTCCACTTGTCTGCATACATAATTCTTCCTGGACACAGGACAAGAACTCGGGCAAAGGCGCCACTGGCCACAGAGGTTTCTAGACAGAAAAGCAACACCTTAAAGATCCCGTAACATTTGCCTCCGATACCACAGCCAGAACAAACACTAAACACAGCCTGACTTCTAAACAGATAAACATAAAACCTCACACTAAAGGCCTATTTACCTCAGTTCCTTTTACCTGATACATTCTGTCTGGCTATGAAAAAAAATTATGAGGCACTATAAAGGCAAAAAATACAATCTGAAGAAACAAAGCAAGCCTCGGAAACAGACTCGGATGTGGCAGAAATTTTTACCAGGAATTATCAAATTATCACCAGGAATTTTTTTTTATATATATGTTTTGAGACAGGGTCTCACTGTTACCCAGTCTGGAGTACAGTGGTGATTCACAGCGCACTGTAGCCTTGAACTCCTAGGCACAAACAATCTTCCTGCCACAGCTTCCCAAGCAGGTAGGACTACAGGTGCATGCCACCACCATGCCCAGCTAAGTCCTTTTTTCTAAGACCGGCCTGGGCAACATTGGAGACCCTGTTTCTACGATTTTTTTTTTAATCGCCAGGCATGGTGGCACACACCTGTAGTCCTGGCTACTTGAGAAGCTGAGGAGGGAGAATCACTTGAGCCTAGGAGTTCAAGACTGCAGCGAGTTATGATCACGCCACTACTGCACTCCAGCCAGGGTGACAGAGTGAGATCCTGTGGAAAGAAAGGAAGAGTAAAGAGAAGGAAAAAACAGTGAAGAGGGGAGGCGAGGAAGGGGAGTGTACAAATCAATAACACTGTAACAGGAAAGAATGTCTTTAGTAAGAAACACCAAACCTGGAAGTTCAGAGAACACCAAGCAAGATAAATACCAAAATATTTACATAGGCAAATGATAGTGAAGCTGCAGAAAATAAGACAAAGAGAAAACTAAATCAAAAGCAAAACTTTAGTTTTTTCCTTATTAACTTTAAGACCAATAAGATATCTCGAAAGAAGCAAGAGGTAAAGAAAAAAATCAACACACACAGAAAACATCTTATCCACAGAGAAATAAAGAATTAGATCAAACTTTCTCTTCAGAAACCATGCAAGCAAAAAGAGTGAAGTGAAATATTTAGTGTTAAAAAAAAAAAAAAAAAAATCCAACCTTTCGGCCGGAACCACCATCTTCCAGTAATTCGCCAAAAGGACGAACACAAAGGGAAAGAAGAGAGGCACCCGATATATGTTCTCTAGGCCTTTTAGTAAACATGGAGTTGTTCCTTTGGCCACATGTATGCGAATCTATAAGAAAGGTGATATTGTAGACATCAAGGGAATGGGTACTATTCAAAAAGGAATGCTCCGCGAGTGTTATCATGGCAAAACTGGAAGAGTCTGCAGTGTTACCCAACATGCTGTTGGCACTGTAAGCAAGTTGTAAACAAACACGTTACTCAGCATGCTGTTGGTATTGTAAACAACTTGTCAACAAACAAGTTAAGGGCAAGATTCTTGCCAAGAGAATTAATGTGCGTATTGAGCACATTCAGCACTCTAAGAGCCAAAATAGCTTCCTGAAACACGTAAAGGAAAATGATCGGAAAAAGAAAGAAGCCAAAGAGAAAGGTACCCGGGTTCTACTGAAGCACCAGCCTGCTCCATCCAGAGAAGCACACTTTGTGAGAACCAGTGGGAAGGAGCCTGAGCTGCTGGAACCTATTCCCTGTGAATTCATAGCATAACAGGTGTTAAAAAAAATAAAAGACCTCTAGACTGGCTGGGCACGGTGGCTCACACCTGTAATCCCAGCACTTTGGGAGGCTGAGGCGGGCAGACCATGAGGTCAGGAGTTCGAGACCAGCCTGGCCAACATAGTGAAACCCTCTCTACTAAAAATACAAAAAATTAGCTGGGCGTGGTGATGGGCGCCTCTAATTCCAGCTACTCAGGAGGCTGAGGCAGGAGGATCGCTTGAACCCAGGAGGTGGAGGTTGCAGTGAGCCAAGATCACACCACTGCACTCCAGCCCGGGCGACAGTGTGAGACTCTGTCTCAAAAATAAAAAAGAAAAGAAATACAAAAAATTAGCCAGGTGTGGTGGTGCGCACCTGTAGTCCCAGCTACTTAGGAGGCTGAGGCAGGAGAATCGCTTGAACCCGGGAGGCAGTGGTTGCAGTGAGCCAAGATCGTGCCACTGCACTCCAGCCTGAGTAACAGAATGAGACTCCATCTCAAAAAAATAAAATAAAATAAGACCTCTGGGCTGTTAAAAAAAATAAAATAAAATACCAAACTAGAATGCCTATAGAATCCCAGCAAAAGTATCCTCCAAAAGTGAAGAAATAAAGACTTTCTGAAATAAAAACTGGGAGAAATGAAACCCAATAAACATGACTTGCAAGAAATGTTAACAGAAGTTATTCAGAAAGAAGGAAAATTATATAGATCAGAAATATGGATTACAAAAAGAAAGGAAGAGTGTAGAGGAAAAAAATAAAGGTAAAACTAAATCTTTTGTTTTTCTGATCCTTAATTCATCTAACAGATAACAACTTGTTCAAAATAATAATAGCAACAATATATTTAGTGACTGTAAATTATGGAAAAGTAAAACAAATAAAAGTAATGTTATAAGGAATGGGAAAAAGGAACTGACAATACTAAGTTGTAAGGTATTTGCACTACCCATGAAGTGGTAAAGTGTTATTTAAAAAGTGAACTTGGATCAGTTTAACTGTGTAATTATTGCAAACTGTGGGGCAACAACTAAAAAATAATTTCATTTTATTCTTTTTTTTTTTGAGACAGTCTTGCTCTGTCGCCCAGACTAGGGTGCAGTAGTGCGATCTTGGCTCACTGCAACCTCCACCTCCTGGGTTCAAGAAATTCTCCTGCCTCAGCCCCCTGAGTAGCTGGGATTACAGGCGTGCGCCAGCACACCTGGCTAACTTTTGTATTTTTAGTAGAGACAGGGTTTCACCATGTTGGCCAGGCTAGTCTCGAACTCCTGACCTCAGGTGATCCACCCGCCTTGGCCTCCCAAAGTGCTGGGATTACAGGCATGAGCAACCATCCTCAGCCTAAAAGATAATTTTAAATTAAGTATAATTTATATTTTAAAACAGGAGACAAAATGGAATTATATAAAATGCTGAATTACAATGAAGAAGGCAGAGACAAAGTGAAAGACGAAAAAAGAAAGAACAAGGACAATGAGTAGAAAACAGTTATAAATACAGTAGACATTAATCCAACTATATCAATAATTACTTTAAACATCTGTGGTCTAAATACACCAGTTAAAAGACACATGCTGTCGAGAGCAAATCAAACGACAAGACCCTACTATATGATGTCTACAAAAATCCCACTCTAAATATAAAGATGAAGACAGATTAAAAGTAAAGGGATGGAGAAAGATAGGCTATGCTAAACCTAATCAAAAGAAACCTGGAATGGCTATAAAAATTTCAGAAAGAGCAAGCTTAAGGCCAAGAAAAATTATCAGTGATAGAGGGGCATTACCTAATAACAGATGGTCAATCTGTTATTATTCACCAAGAAGACATAATCATCTTTATATGTATGTACCTAACTACAGAGTGTCAAAATACATAAGGTATAATAAAAACTGATAGAACTACAAGGAGAAACACATGAATTCAATATCATAGTTGGAGCTTCAACAACCCTCTATCGGTAATTGACAGAAGCAGAAAATCAGGAAGGTATCATAGAACTGATGACACCATCAATCAACTAGATCTAACTGACATTTATAGAACACTTCATCCAGCAACAGCAGTATACACACTCTTCTCAAATCCACAGGGAACATTTCACAAAGAGAGACTACAAAATATACCTTAACAAATTTTAAAGAATAGACACCATACAAATAGACACACCACAATGGAATTAAACTAGTTAAACAAAAACATAGCTGGAAAATCTCAAAATATTTGGAGATGTTTAAACAGCTCACTTACAAATAACTCGTAGATCAAAAAAATAGTCTTGAGAAATTATAAAATATTTTAAACTAAGTGTACATGAAAATAAAACACCAAAATTTATGGCCGGGCACAGTGGCTCATACATGTAATCCCAGCACTTTGGGAGGCTAAGGCAGGAGGATCACTTGAGGCTAGGAGCTCTAGACCAGCCTGGGCAACATAATGAGACCCCATTTCATAAATAAGTAAGTAAGTAAGTAAATAAATGTGGGATGCAGCAAAGCAGGACTAAGAGATTAATTTTTAGCATTGAATGTATATGTTAAAAAAGAAGAAAGGTAAAATTAATCATCTAAGCTTTTAATTTAGGAAACCAGAAAATGAACAAATTAAATCCAAAGGAAGCAGAAGAAAACAACAAAAATCAGAGCAAAATTGAAAACAGGAAAACAAAGAAAATCAACAAGACTCAAAGCTGGTTCTATGCCCTTAAATTTGATAACTTAGGTGAAATGGACCAATCCCTTAAAAGACACAATCTACCAAAATTCACACAAGAAGAAACAAATAATCTGAATAAGCCTAAATCAATTTTTAAAACCTGAATAAATAATTAATAATCTTCCAAAACAGAAAGCACCACACTCAAGATAATTCATTCGTGAATTCTATCAAATATTTAAGGAACAGATGATACCAATATTCTACAATCTGTAGAAGCAGAGTGAGCACTTCTAACTCATTCTCAGAGGCCAACATTACCCCGATCATAAGCCCAGGCAACAGCCTTACAAGAAAGGAAAATTACAGAACAATATCTTTCATGAACACAGAGGCAAATGTTCTCAAAAATCTCAGCAAATCACATTATACACCACGACCAAGTAGAGTATATTCCAAGTATGCAAGGTAGGTTCAACATCTAAAAGTCAATTAATGTAATCCAGGAAACAGAAAAAAAAAATCATACAATCAGATCATATCAATAGATGCAATAAAAGTATTTGATAAAATTCTACATCAGTTAATAATTACATGTTCTCAGCAAACTAGAAATAGAGGAGGATTTCCTCCACTTGATAAATAAAATTTACAAAAAACTTACAGCAAACACCATACCTAATGGTAAGAAACCAGATCCTTTCCCCGTAGGATCAGGAACAAGGCAAGGACTTCCCTTCTTACCACTCCTATTCAACATCATACTGGACATCCTAGCTAATGCAGTAAAACAAGAAAAGGACATAAAAGGTACACAAATTGAGAAGAAAGAAATAAAACTCTCTATTTGCAGATGACATGATCATCTATGTAAAAAAAAAAAAAAAAAAAACCCAAAGTACTGACCAACAAACTCCTGGAAATAATAAGCAATTACTACAGATTGTAAGATAAAAGGGGGAGATATTTGGGAACTCTCTGTAAGAAATTACAATTTCTCTGTAAACCTAAAACTGCCCTAAGAAATAAAAATCTATTTTAAAAAAACTCCAATTAAACAACTTTCACAGTAATACATTAATCCAGTATAGGTGCTTAAGAAAAAATATGTGTTCAACACGGTTTTCCTCCTTTGTTTCCTTTTTTCCCCAGTGGGGCTGCAGGGGTGGCTGGGGGAGCCAGGGAGAATCTCTCTAACTTCTCAAGCATCTTTGAGTCCAACAAAACACAACATGGAAAGTGAAGACTATACACCATAAAAGTGAATAATTCAAACACATCCATACCATCTTTTTCAATCTTTACCAATTCATAATTCTCTGAAACTAGAAAATATTTCTTACAAGTTGGAGGAACCTTATTTTCTTGGTAATATAAGTATACTGACTCCAAAACCTAAAATGAGAAGGAAAAGTACAAGGAACAGAGTTTAATCCAAGCTTGGATGATCAGCCACCATGGCCCCAGGAATGAAGAAAAAAAGAAAATCTTCCCAACAATCATCAAAACAGCCCACACCAAAAGTTCAAGTTACTTTCTGAGTAACTCCTTAACATTCTTTTCTTTAACACTAAGAAAATATATTAGCCAGGCACGGTGGCTGACTCCTGTAATCCCAGCACTTTGGGAGGCTGAGGTGGGGAACTGCTTGAGCACAGGAGTTCAAGATCAGCCTGGGCAACATGGCAAAACTCCATCTCTACAAAAAATGCAAAAAATTAGCCAGGCATGGTGGTGTGCACCTGCAATCGCAGCAACTCAGGAGGCTGATGTGGGAGAATCACCTGAGCCAAGGAGGTCAAGGCTGCAGTGAGCCGTGACTGCGCCAGTGCACTCCAGCCTGGGCAATAGAGTGAGGCCCTGTCTCAAAAAAATTAATAAAGAAAGATAAAAAATTCTCCTACTCTTTTAATTGACTAGAATAGAAATGTGAATAGAAATATGATAGAGGTATATCTTTTTATTATTGTAATTATGTCTATTTAATTTCTATATTCTGTCTGTTTTAACACATTTTATTTCAGGTATTGCTGGAGTGTTACTGCTAATTCTATATTCTAATGTATCTTCTAAAATTAATTAAATACATTACCATTGTTACAACATGTAGTGAGAGTCTCTGAATTGCCCAAATATCCACTATGAAAACACTTAGTACAATTTGTGTGTGATGGAAGGGCTACATACAGGAAGATCCTTAAGTTAAGTGGTGAGACAATCCTATCTCCCCCTGGTATATGGTTTTGAATTTCTTCCATATGGAATTAATAAAAATCCGTCCTTTCTCCTACTTCAGTAACTTTTGTCCAGATCTAAAAACATTGGTTCAACCTGTATTTATACTTATCATCAATATGTAGTCATTGTTCATTTGTAACTTCAAAGAACAAGCACATACATGACCACAGGGGGTTTTGGTAGTACCAAAGAATTTTTCAGTGCCCACAATATCTCTGTGCAGTAATTATTACATACTTTCAACATGATTCAAACAAAGAATTCAAATACGATACTACAGTGACCTATTTAAAACGCAAAGAAAATTCAATAGCACATGATTCACTTACACCTAGAATTCTAACACCATGCTCCACCTCACAGTACTATTACCATTCTCTAGTAAGAATTTTTCTAAAATCTCTTGACCACAAGAATGACATGACAGACAAACGTGGGCAATGAAGGGGGAAGGGGAACCACATTCTCATATTCACTTCAGGAAAGGTTATTTCATTTTATGAACTCAGCCTGAGAGTGCAGCATTTTTCTAACTTTAAGTGACCTGAAGAATGCTCTTCTTCCAAATACACTATTCAAGTTGAAAAACAAAATGGTAAGTCAGAGAGATCAGGGCAAACATCATGTTTACCTAATGTCTTCATTAATTAGCTTCACCCAAATAAACAAATTAATTTACGCAAGCTACATTCACAAGTTAGAGCCTATCTGATTAGCACTTAAAGCATTTTCTATTCCCTTTTTGTGACTCCAACAAGACTAATATTAATACAGTATGTAGCAGCCACTCAACATTATAAAACTTCAGAATGTGAGAACTAGAAATGTCTTAAAGATCATTTGGTTTACTCTTCTCTTCCTCAGGCCTCAAATTTTATCTATGAGGAAATTGAAACAAACCCAATAGTCCCACAGACTGTTCTTTTGGCACAAAAAGTATCAAAGAACTGAAACCAGATCACCCTACCAGATGCCAGACCCCTCATTCACCATTATTGCTTCCTCGCCCCTCCTCCCAAGTTCCTGTTTTCTTACACATTGTTAAAATCTATGTCTTCCCTGCTATATAAACCCTGGTTTTAGTCAGTCAGGGAGATGGAATTGAGACCAAGCTCCCATCTTCTCAGCTGCCGCCCCTGATTAAAGCCTTCTTCCTTGGCAATACTCATTGTCTCAGTGATTGGCTTTCTATGCAGCAAGCAGCAGGACCTAGACTGAACTCCTGGTGTATCAGTAACAAACTAATAGCTAAAGAAGACAGTAACTTTCTTAAGCTAGTTATTAACAGAGCAGAACTAAGGTACTCTGACTTCCAGACTGGTTTTCTTTCTACTATACCATGCTGTTGTCAAGAACTCTGAAGAACCTAAGATTTTACCCTACATGCAAGCTAACATCAGTCTGCCATAGTTTCATGGACACTGAGAGCAAACACTGTACCTACATACAGTTTGGGCACTGAAGACTGAAACTACATGTCCCCTATACTGAGTTAAATAAGTGTCCTCCCAAAATGTGTAACGGCTAGAAATAGGGTCTATGCAGATATAATCAAGTTGATATAATGTCATTCTGGATTAGGATGGACCCTAATACATGACTGGAATCCTTATAAGAAGGACATTTGAACACAAACACACACAGAGGGAAGATGTCATGTGAATACTGAGGTAGAGATTGGAGTTATGCTACCAAAAGTCAAGAAATACCAAGGATTTCTGGCATCCACCATAAGCTAAAAGAAGAAGGAAAGGATTCTTACCTAGAGCCTTCGGAGAGAGTGTGGCCCTGCCAACACCTTGATTTCAGACTGCTAACCTCCAAAACTGAAAGAATAAATTTCTGCTATATTAAGCCACCCAGTTTACAGTGCTTTGTTATAGCAGCCCTAGAAAACTAATACACACACACACAGCTTTCTAGGTACATTAACATGACTTTACCAGTCCACTGTCTTAATTAGCATAACTGCTATTCTAGGAGACAGCAGAAATATAATGTGATTGTTCATTACAGACCTTCTGGAAAGACCCATCAACTCTTCGGCAGTTTTCAAAATCTTACTGTTTCCACCAAACCTAAACTGTTTTATCATGATACCTACCCAATCCTAATCAAGCCTCATCGCCACCACTGAAAGATCCAACTTAAAACAAACTTCAAATTCTCAAATTTTGACCTCTCTAAGACCCTACCAAAGATTTTTTTAGGTGTTCTCCCTTACCACAATAAGCAATGAACTCAGCTTTGTTTTATCAATAGGATGTGTTAGTAGTGTAGCTGGTAAGCTAGCATCAGATAATCCTGGCAGAAGTTATGACACTCCTAGATCAGAAACAAAGAACAGTTTACTACTCACAACAATAGCATAGACAGAGTACCATATTTTTTACTGATTCCTCAAGCTCTAATTCCTAAAGGCCAATGAAAGGAAAACCAAGTGCACATACTGTGGGTTGCATTACAGGACAAGAAAACCTGAGCTTAATGAAACTCCAATCTTTAAAAGGAGCTACAAGCAAATATGCCCAACCTTTTTCCCTAGAGAGATTATCTTAATTATCCTGGACAGCAAAGAAATGTGCCATCTGTCCTAATGGAAGCACTATTTCTATCTTCCTAGGCTGTTTGCTAAACAGATTTCTTTGAAAAAGATAGCCCCCAACAAAAGCTATCAGTACTCTGCTCAGCGAATGTGCAGAAACAGAAGAGATCCATGGATTGAAGAGAAATGTCTCTCAATACCTATTTCCTTTGTCCTAAAAGACTAAAAAGATTCTTAGAGAATCAAGACAAAATTGGTACAATACAATGAGATGTTTCCAGAGAAAACATATAGAGCAAAAAGGTGTACTTTCTTCTCTCAAAAATCTGTATAAACTAAAACCACTTCAGCTGAGTCACAATCTTATAACAAGCCTATCTATCAAATATCCAAAAGTAAATACTTATATGTTTGGATCCTATTTTCATTGTAAAATGTTCCATTTCTAGAAAAGTATCTCAAGCAAGTTTTTATTTTTATTTTATTATTCTTTAACTTTAAAATAAAATGCTATTTTTTTTATTATTTTTTGACTGTTTCTCACAGTGAATCAAGTTTTATCAATAATTTCCAAGGCCTGGCAGTGTTCGTGAAATAAAAGAGACTAGCAGTTTTAAACTTTACCAATTATACCTGACTTTAATGTGGACCTTAACGCCTTTTTTTAAAATAAGAAAATAAAGACCCAAGAGCTGAGATGGTAAGCTTTTACTCATACAGCTATCTGGAGACATTGCAGTGTAGGGTTCATTTTACTCATCATTCTCTCTCTCTCTTTATCCTGGGATCATTGCTTAACCTAATGGGTGGGATTAAGTTAAATTACTCAATTTAATATTATTTACAAAAACTCAGTTTTTGTTTATTTCTTTTGCAGTTAATTTTAAGTTAAACAGGCTACCATTTAAACGGTACAAGACAGAATCTCAATTTTCAAATATGCAAAAAATATGCTGATATTGAATATATAGCTAGAAAAATCTAAATTTTTTTATTTTGTAACAACCTCAAAATATTTTATGTGAATTAAAGCATATTAAATTTAAATTTAAATATGGCTTTTATTTTCATAAATACTTTACATAAATATTGACCTTAGAATTGTGGTTTAAAATCTAAATACCCTAAAATCCTGAAGAAATCATGACTTCTGAGCACAGCATTATCTTTGACTCTGTGTTGTATTTGCCCGTTGAACAGATAACTATTCTCTTTCAGAAATAGCTCTAAAATGCTCTGACTCTGCCTAAAATGTTTTGTCTATTTAAGAAATGTTCTCTGACCGGGCACAGTGCCTCACATCTATAATCCCAGCACTTCAGGAGGCTGAGGTGGGCAGACCGCTTGAGCCAAGAAGTTTGAGACCAGCCTAGCCAACATGGTGAAACCCCATCTCTTCTAAAAATACAAAAATTAGCTGGGCATGGTGACACACATCTGTAATCCCAGCTATTTGGGAGTCTGAGGCATGAGAACTGTTTGAACCCAGGAAGTGAAGGTTGCAGTGAGCGGAAATTGAGCCACTGCACTCCAGCCTGAGTGGCAGAGAGATTCTTGTCTCAAAAAAAAAAAAAAAAGAAAGAAAAGAAAAGAAAGGAAAGGAAAAAAAGGTTTTAAAGAAATGTTTTCTGAGAACACAATACAGCAGGCCACGTATCTACAGAGATACTATGAAAATTACATAATTCATCTAAAAATGTTCAGAAACAAGAAAACAATTTAAAGTTGCAGTAAGTCTTTTAATGTCCAGGCTTAGAAGCTAGAGTCTAAACCATCCTACATTTTCTGAGTCAGAGCATAATACTTTCTCAAGACCTTTTTATTTCTATAACAAATAATGAACTACAGTTTCCTTATAAATATTCAAATAGGGTTTCAAGCTACTTTTTGAGGTCATTAATTTCCCCAAGGCAGAAAGACAGTTTCTATCACTTTCATCCTACATATTCATTCAAGAAAGTTTAAACTGACTTTTCCATGCCCAACCTTTACCCTCTTTAAGTATGTTTTTAATATAGAATTCTAATTTACTTGACTTTTCTAGATGACTTTTGAAGCTACCTATATGAGGCTTGACGTTATTAATCTACCTGTATATTTCTGGTCTACTGAGGGAAGAGAGACCCTCTCATGTTGTTTTATATTGTTTTACACTCAGTACCTGTTTTTTTTGTTTTTTTTTTTTTTGAGACGGAGTCTCGCTCTGTCGCCCAGGCTGGAGTGCAGTGGCAGGATCTCGGCTCACTGCAAGCTCTGCCTCCTGGGTTCACGCCATTCTCCTGCCTCAGCCTCCTAAGTAGCTGGGACTACAGGCGCCCGCCACTACGCCCGGCTAATTTTTTGTATTTTTAGTAGAGACGGGGTTTCACCGTTTTAGCCGGGATGGTCTCGATCTCCTGACCTCGTGATCCGCCCGCCTCGGCCTCCCAAAGTGCTGGGATTACAGGCGTGAGCCACCGCGCCCGGCCTCAGTACCTGTTTTAAGAAAAAAAACAAGGAAGTGAAATCAAAGACAGGCAGCCCGGCACCAGGCCCAAAACCAGGCCTGGGCCTGCCTGGCCTAAACCTAGTAGTTAAAAATCAACTCATGACTTAGAACCCGATGTTACACATAGATTTCAGGCACTGTATTGTGAAACTCCCTGCTCTGTTCTGTTTCACTCTGACCACCAGTGCATGCAGCCCCTGTCACGTACCCCCTGCTTGCTCCAATCAATCACAACCCTTTCATGTGAAATCTTTAGTGTTGTGAGCCCTTAAAAGGGACAGAAATTGTGCACTCAGGGAGCTGAGATTTTAAGGCAGTAGCTTGCCGATACTCCCAGCTGAATAAAGCCCTTCCTTCTATAACTCGGTGTCTGAGAGGTTTTGTCTGCAGCTCGTCTTGCTACACTACCACTATATTCAAGAAGGCTACCTAGTATCTCCAAAATCAGGGAACACCACAAGTTCCAATAGATCCCCTTTCTAATAATTTTACATCATTTCTCTTTCTATACTCAAAATGACCATAAATTGCAAGTTTCTTCCCCTAGCCACAATGTCTGTTAAATTGTGTTCTCATTATGTTTTAATAACATTTTAAAAAAGAAATGCAACCATGGCCTAAAAGGCAATAGTTAAATCATCACAGCGCTTTAACAGTAGCAACAACAAAAAGTAATTTCTATTAGTAAAAAATACATGGGGTCAGGGGATGAAGAAAGGTTGACTAATGGGTACAAACATACACTTAGAAGAAATAAGACCTGGTGTTCAATAGATCAATAGGGTGATTATAGTTAACCTTACTTAGTTGACTGTACATTTCAAAATAGCTAGGGAAGAGAATAATTCAAATTTTCTTAATATAAAGAAAAAATGAATATTTAAGTTAACGGATATTCCAATTACCCTGATTTTATTACATAAAGGTATCAAATTATCACATGTACCCTGAATATAAGTATGTACACCTAACATGCATCAATGCAAAAAAAAATTTTTTTTTTTTTTTTGAGACAGAGTCTCACTCTGTCACCAGACTAGAGTGCAATGGTGTGATCTCGGCTCACTGCAACCTCTGCCTCCCGGGTTCAAGCGATTCTCCTACCTCGGCCTCCCAAATAGCTGGGACTACAGACGTGAACCACCACACCCAACTAATTTTTGTATTTTTAGTAGAGATGAGGTTTCATCATGTTGGCCAGGATGGTCTTGATCTCTTGACCTCATGATCCGCCCGCCTCAGCCTCCCAAAGTGCTGGGATTACAGGTTTGAGCCACCATGCCCCACCAAATTTTTTAAAGAACATAGAGTCACATTTTTTTAATGTATGATTGCAGCAGTTTTATGATCATCAAAAACTAAAAACAGCCTAAATATCCATAAACAGGTATATGAATAAACTAATTATGGTATATCCATAAAATGGAACACTACTCAGCAATAAAAAAGGACAAACTACTGATACACAACTACTGATGCACACAGCAACATGAATAAACCTCAAATATATTATTCTAAGTGAAAGCCAGGATTTAAAAACTACATCTTAGATGATTCCAATTAAATAACATTGGAAAAGGCAAATTACAGGGATAGAAAGCAGATCAGTGATTGCTAGGGATTGAGGTATAAGGAGAGGTTAACTACAAATAGGCAACACGAGCAAATTTGGAAGGTTTAGAGAATGTTTTAATTGTGGTGATATATATTTGTCAAAATTAATAGAATGAACACTAAAAATAAATAAAAATGTTAATGTAGGACTGAAATCTGGACAAGAATACCTTTAAAAGCCAGCTACTAAAAATGTCAGAAATGTTTAAGATGAGTTGCTTATTTTTAGCACCAAATATGCCACACAACGATGCCAAAAGTTCAGTGTACCGCATTCAACCACAACTTGTTTTATCCAGCCCCATAATTTAAAGTACAAAACTATTTAAAAGGAAGTAAATTTTTTTCAATTTATGCAGTGAATATTGTATATAGTAGGCAGTAAGAAAATGTTTCTTAACTAATACACAATTCAACAGAGTTTAGACTGACTTGGCCTTTCTGCTTTACTGGTACATAACATGTAGCTTTAACCACAAAATTATCTATTTCTCAAAATATTAACATATAATTAGAACAGGGAAGTGCTGTCCACAAAATACACTAACCTGAATTTGTCCAGTTAATCAACAAAGGCAAAAAATCACTTTATCTTGAACAAAAAGACCATTAGGGTCATGGATGTCCTCTGAGCAAAAGCAGCAACCTGAAACAAAATAAAAATATATGAAATTCAGCCCTACTCAAGCTTCAGTTAGCATTATTATATAATTTTTTAAATACCTTTAACTTTTCTTTATGTAGCCAGTCATAACATGCAAATTCACTTATTTTGTACACTGACTTATTCTGTAAGCACTTTCCAAATGTCAACAAAAAATGGGTTTTCATTTTGCAAATTATACCCAAACTCAGTAACACTCAGTGGTTTAATTTGCTTCATAGTTCAACTTACAATAAGTTAGCGCTCATATAACTTGCTTTGTGAATATAAAATTCTTTAACTTTGTCTATCTTTTAACATAAAAGGCATTCAGAAGTGTACCTCTTTTCAGACCAAAGCTCAAAATCTTTTGTATTTCCCCTCGATTTTGTATGACACCTCGGTTAGCTACATAACCTAGTTTCTTACTATCTTCTACACAAACTTCCACTAACACCAATTTAATTTTGCTTTCTTTCCATAGAACAATTTGTTTATTCTCAGTTGTCACCCTGCAATACAACATTCCTTTTTTTAAAAAACAGGGATTTTTTTCTCCTTTATCAATCAATGCATATCCATCAACTTTCTCAAAATCCAGCCCCTCTATACCTCCCTGCCTGAGAGCTGACATAATCATTCTATACTCCATTAATCTTCAGTAGAGTATTTTGCTGCCTTATACATGCACCATCTCATGCAGTCTTTTGATCAGGGGCCCTTCTCCTACTTCATTTGTTGCTGCCTCTCCCTCATCCAGTATCATGTTTGGCACACAGTAATCAATATGATTAACTGAAAAGTGAAATGGCCTTAATAAAGATTCGCACATCAAATGTTCACTGAGTGTGTAGTATGCGCAAGTCACCAAGTACAAAAACCCAAGAACAGTACAAAGACACAATATATTCTATAGAAATGTGTGTTTCTGCCACTTGCTTTACTCTTATGTCAACAACATGAGATTTTTCTCTGATTGACATTATTAATTGTGAGAAGCAGTTTTTCTCCAATGACATCAAAGTCTACTGAAAACAATTTTAGGCAATTACAACTAATATAAAAGCAATATCACCAACTTAAACTCCTCCCACCACAAAGGTAACACAACTATTTTCTTTTTTTTTAAGATTTTAAAATTTATTTTGTTTTACTTTATTGTAGAGACTGGGTCTCGCTATGTTGCCCAGGCTGGTATCAAACTCCTGGGCTCAAGTAATCCTCGTGCCTCAGCCTCCCAAAGTGCCGGGATTGCAAACATGAGCCACCATGCCCAGCCTGTATAATGCTTTATTATTTACATTATCTCATACATCTATTTGAAGAAGACATAGTCAACTACTCCCAAAGCCCATAAACATACAATTATTAAACAGCCATCAAGTCTAAAGTCAGCAAAGGTTTATTGTAATTCTTTCCTGTAACTTCACCCAAAAGTCTTTGCCAAACTCCTCAATAATCCAATAGTGTGAAATGTATGCTTCCAGCCATTATGGAATAACTGGTAACAGATTTACCCTCAGATGGTAAGCAACTGCAAAACCAGACAAAATACATGACAGTTTCCAGATAGTGAACAACAATTAGTGTAGATCTGTGTTCCCTGAAACAAGAAAACAAACTAGATAAGGCCTATGACCACCCTGGCTTTCTGCCTAGAGACATGTTCTAGACACCATTGCCAAGAGGGAAATTCAAAGCAGAATACAGCAGTCTTGCTAACTTGAAAAGAACAGAGTTTGGAACAGTGGAGGTGGCAAAAATTACTAGAATGATATACCAGAAAGGAGAAACTTAAGCAGAAAAAAGCTACAGATATGTACATTGGGGTCCACTTGAGTCATCAACTAAATACTAATCTACACATGCTTAGGGTGAAGTTCCATAAAGTCAGACAAAAAACATCCTCCAGGAGCTATAATATGAACAACTCTGGGCTGACACTGAGCTTGGAGACATCTGAGTTCCATCCAGCCACAGCAGAGACATCTCTTTACACTCTAGGCCATAGGTACAGACCTCAGGAGGGCTAAATTTGCCCTAGAATAAAGATGACTCTATAATGATCCCAATAGAGCTTAAAAACAAGCCATGAAAGGACAATCTGATCCTCAATTTAACATCTGTAACCAACAGCCAGAATGGAAAAGTCTCATAATTCATGAAGCATAAAATATTCAGAAGGGTTTTGCCTCAGTAGTGGGGAAAATTAAATTAAGTGGTTACACTTAACAAAGATTAAAAGCAATACCTAAAAGTTAAAAAACACTTTCAAATAACTTCAATACAGACCAGGAAAAAGTTCAAAAATATCTGCAGGCACTAGGGCTGGTGGTACACACCTGTAGTCCCAACTACTCAAGAAGTTGCAACAGGAGGATCACTTGAGCCCAAGAGTTTAATACTGCCATGACCTATGACCATGCTACTGCACTACTGCCCAGGTAACAGAGCAAGACCCCATCTCTTAAAAAAAAAAAAAAGAATATAGGAATATAAAAATGTCCAGCACCCAACAGGGCACAATTTACAGTGTCTTATTTTACATGCCTGATATGCATCAATTAATTAACTAGCAGGTTAAAAAAACTAAGGCAAGAAAACAGAGCCAGAAGGAAAGCTATCAATCAATCAAAACCAACCCAGAAATGACAGGGTTGATAGAATTAGGAGACTAGGACATTAAAAGTTATTATATATCTGTTCCATATGTACTAAAAGCCAGAAGAAAGGTTAAGTATATTAAGACACAGACAAAAAAGACCCAAGTTGAACATCTAGAAATAAAAACTAGAACGTTGGAAGTCCTCTACCTGACATACCTGTTGAATTATGAAGTTTTTTTGTCTGATGGATTCAGGCCCTACTCCTAACCATGTGTGAGCTCTAATTATTATATTATTCCCTCAATTCCTTTTTGGTGGTTCTTCCGCAGCTTCCCATAGTTTCCTTACAGGCATGTATTGATCAGTAGTCAATTGAATTATTGAAAGCAATTTCTACAGATCTGTGAATTTCTGTCTCTTGCAGCTTTCTCCTTTCTCATACTCTACCTTGTGAACTCTAGCTGCCTTGGCCCCCCAATCTCCCAGCTAGCTCTACCTCTTCAATACAGAGAAATCTCTAGGCTCCTCCTGGGTTCCACTGCTTTGTTCCATCCCTACAAACCCTCTCTAGGTGTGAGCTAGAGCAACCGCATGATCTCGCCTAATTTGTTTCCCATCCCTTGGGGATCAATGTCTTTTGCTGCTTGACGGCAAATGTCTTGAGAACTGTGGTTTCATTATTTCGTCCCATTCTTTAGTTGTCTTAGGTGGAAAGACCATCCCTATTAGTCCATCTTACCTGGAAACACTGTATTTTAAAGGGGGACTATGAACTTAATTAACTTTGTGACAGCACTGAATGCTGAAATTTTCTAAAAATTAGATGTATTCAATAAATACCACTTATATGTCAATAAGTTATCCTAAAGCAAAGAAGCATAAATAGGATCTAAGAATGAGAAGGAACTCATATGAAAACAAAATATTACCATAGGAGAAACTAAAGATATTTAAGAAATGCATATTATTGACAGGAACGGGGGACAGAGAAATTCTAGGCAGAAAATGGTGGGTCCCCAGCATAACCTCACCCTCAAGCCAAAAAGCCTGTAACCATGGCCCAAAGTGAGAGCTTATATCTCCGTTTTCTGGCTCAAATGTTGCCTTTTCCTAAATCACCCACGGTCCTGCCCCATCCCATCCTGTGCCTATAAAAACCCCAGACTCAGCTGGTAGACAAGACGATGGCTAGATATTGGAGAGAGGTGGCTTGACTTCAGAAGGACAGCTTGATGGCATTACTACAGAGAAGAATCTTGCCAGAGATGGCTGAACTTCCCAGGGGAAGATTACCTACCCACCCTGTCCCCTTTTCAGCTTCCATTTCCACTGAGAGTCCCTTTCATTTCCAATAAAATCCCCTGCATTTACCATCTTTCAATTCATTCATGTAACCTCATTTTTCCTGGGCGCCAGACAAGAGCTCAGGAGCCACAAGTGTGGATACAAAAGGCTTTCACAGTGGCCCTTTGGCCTCACTGGCAGAGGGCTGCCACTTCACAAAAAGAAGGCAAAGGGTCCACTGAGTTGTTAGCACTTAAGCTGTCCACGGACAGCGGAGCTAAAAGAGCACTGTAACACACCCTCTGGAGCTTCAATAGTCGCAGGCACCCGCTCCTGGACACTGCTGTGGGGCCTGCAGAGAGTTCACTCCTGCTGTGGCTAAAGCATCCGGCCGTTCCGGCACCCACTCATATGCGCACTCCCTCCTGCGAGGGGCAGAACGCAGTGGGTCTGAGTGAGTGGAGGTTGAGCCCTCTGGCGCCAAAGCAGCCGGCTGGTTTCAGTACTCATTCACTCCAATTCCCACACCCGTTCACTTGTGCACTCCCTTCCACAAGGAGTTAAGAGTGGTGGGCTGGGGCAAGGCGCAGTGGCTCATGCCTGTAATCCCAGCACTTTGGGAGGCTGAGGCGGGCGGATCACGAGGTCAGGAGATCAAGACCATCCTGGCTAACACGGCAAAACCTCGTCTCTAACAAAAATACAAAAAATTAGCGGGGTGCGGTGGCAGGCGCCTGTAGTCCCAGCTACTAGGGAGGCTGAGGCAGGAGAATGGCGTGAACCTGGGAGGCGGAGCTTGCAGTGAGCGCCACTGCACTCTAGCCTGGCCGACAGAGGGAAGACTCCCTCTCAAAAAAAAAAAAAATAGGGTGGAAGGGTGGTAGGCTGGGTAAACAAGGCACCCCTGTTGCGAGTCCCACAAAGGAGTCAGGGAAATATCCTGCTTCATTACGTAATAGAAAAAAATGATTAACCATGAAAGTTTACTTTCATGATAGGTGAATATCAACAGCATCCAAAGAATAAACAATATCCAGTAATCAGCAATAATAAAAACCCAACGTAAGAAAAACCCCATTTTAGAAAAGATACAAACTGAAAGATTTCTCTGAGAAAAAGAAATATACCTGAAAAGATACAACCAAGAGTGCAGCATATAATATCATATCCACATCAAATATATGGAAGAAATTATTCACTTAAGAAGAAATGCTATACTTGCTTATCGTTAGTGGAACTAGAATTCAGTCGAACGTTACAAGATCTGCTGTAGACTAACTGAACATGAACATAATAAAGGAAGAGAAGTAAAACGATAAGTATAAGTTTTCAGGAGAAACAGAATACCTATAGAACTAAATAAACATCTTAAGTTATCTCCATGATAGAAAAAAGAAAGCATAAAGAAAGAAAAATGTTAGACTTTAAAATAAAGAAGTATAAAATAAAGAGGCTAGGAATCACAGGTTTTATTTTCAATCTGTAATATTGAACAGAGTCAGTCATTTTTACCCACACCATTAGGAAGAAAGACAACTGTGAGCTAAACTGAAGGTACCCTAGATGAGGAAAGAAAAACAGCAAATGGCCCATTGAGTCTCATCTTCAAAGAAATACATCTTGTTCTAAAAAAGGAAACCACACACACATGCATACATATGCACACAAAATCACATATGAAATGAAGAAGAACCCAAAGTCATGGGAAAACATGTTTAACAGATGACAAAAATTAACTCTATCAGTGGTGAAATTGGTCATTTTTAAGAAAAAGAGAAAAGTACTGTGTTGATAATAAAAGGGCTATTTACCCATAAAAAGTGAAAGCTATAAACATGTTTTAAAAGCTAAGTATGACTCAGGCACTACTGAGTCTTGTAACACTGATGGTCCTAAGGCCATTCTAGGTTTCCCCAAAGCTGGACTTCAAACAGGGAGATGCTTCAACCAAGAAAGTGAGCTTTCCACAGTGAAATAGGGTAAGGCAGGGGTGGCGACAGCCTAGAAGAGGCTGCTCACTATGAAGAATTTTACTATTGAAAATTTATCAACCTAAATATAGTATGGGGTATGCTGCTCATGGCTAAGATAAAAATGCAGTAAGGCAGGACCTCAATGTCTTCTAGCTATGGGCCAATGTTAAGAGAGAAAACACAAGAAGGATGAAAGCCTCAGAAGAGAAAAGCACACTGACAATGGTATATTGCTTCCTTTCCTTCTCCTTTCTCTGTAGTGTTGATATTGATATTCTAAGTGACTCCAGTATATCAACGGAAGCCGCATTCTTTCTGTTTTGGCAAAAAGAAAAATAGTTAAGGTAGGTGATACATACTAACAAAAACTAGAGACTAAAATGGATTCTAGGAATAAGTGAACAAAACGAAAAAGTCTGTTTTGTCTGCTATTTCAACAAAAACGAATTCATCATTGTAAGACTGTCAAAGTCATATTTATTGGTAAGCAAATATTTCCTATAATTATTCTAACAATTAACATTACTTTACAGTAAAATAAGTTATAACTAATTTATTCACTACTCCCCTTCCTTTGGTGAAGTTGTCTACATCATCAACATAAACTAGTACTAAATCAACTATATTAAATTTGGTCTAGTTTCTTACCAATTAAAAGGATCTATTTATTTATTCATAATGGTCTAGGTAAATCTGTCCTAAATTTGTAAGTTCTGTTTGACATTACAAAATCAATTCCCTTGTTTTCTCCCTCCTTCTCAAACCAGACTAATATGCCAAAAATCACTAAAACAATTTAAGTGATTTCTGTCATCCTTAATTCATAAATTCATTCATATAAATAGCTGTGTAAAATCACCTAAAATAAAAAATAATCTGAAAATTATAAAGGAAAATCGTATCAGTATCTATTACAGTCAAGATGCTTTTACAGTCATTATCCTTTCAGTTAGTCTGAATTAAGAAGGCAAAATACCAAAATTCCTGTTACAATACCATCACTCTTTCTAAATTCCCATGGGACACAGCTTGAATTTCTAAATCCTTTTCAACTTCCTATACATTGTAACTGTTTATTTTTCCCACCCCATCCCCAAAAGATTGGGCACACCATGAGAACAGAGCCTGTGGTTATTCACCTTTATATCCCTTAGTGATTTCTAGCACACTACCTTAACACATATTATATTTAATAGTTTCTACTCACCAATATCCCTTCTACTTATCTCACAAGGATACTGCAAGGATCAAACAGTACAATATTTATGAGTACTGTGCTTAAAATATTGTGCAGATATCAGATGTATTTTATTTTATTATTGTCTATGATTATTCTAAATCTTAGCTGGAAAGTAGCAATATGCTATAGGGAATGAGAACAGAACAAACGATCCTCCTGATAAGCATGAGTTTGATGGTGGCTCCATTGCCTCCTTTATTCCGCCCCCCCATTCTATAGGTTCTAGACCCACTTACTCATGACCAAAGCTTTCATCACCCCCTGCCTGCATCATCCCAGCACTCTTCACCATACCACAAACATCATCTGGCGTTTTTATGGTTTCTAGTACCAGCTCCACTTCCAGCTCCCAATCTATAGTTCATAACCATTGGATATTTTGGCTACTATCTCTAAGCTATCTCTTACTAGGTAAGATAAAGAGATAGAATCAACAGGTCAGGGGTCTTATGACCTAACACTATCCCTGTGATACTGAATAAATCATGTCTGTTTCTGTGCCTTTATAAAAATACCAATATAAATATGTCACACTGCCTTAGTTGCACTAATTTAGGTAGGATATGAGGAGCCCAGGAGCTGGTTATCGTGCCTTTCAAGAAACACATTCTGGCATTGAGAAACTAATCCCGAAACAGAAACGAAGAGGTTTAGTACTAGTCCCAGCTCTAAACAGAAATTTACTATGTGATCTCAGAAATAACATATCATTATCCCTAGATGTCTAGATATTCTCCTATAATGAAGGAACTGGAATAAATTTTAAAGGTCTCCTCCAGATCTAAAATTCTGAGATGAAAAGCCTATACTGCCATCTTCCAGGGGCCATTAGAATTTTTCAGCTTGTATTTCAATTGAACTTACCACTTGCTACTAAACACGCCAAAAACATTCTAGTAATTCAACCAGACAAGATACCATTTGAAAAAAATGTATGTATTTGAAAAAATGGTATCTTGTCTGGTTGAAGAAAAAAAATTTTCAGAAGAAAAAATTGTTTTAATCTTTTAATTTAATCTTTTGTCAAAACATTCCTTTCCAATCCAAAAAGTCCTTTTCCTTCATTATTATAAAATAAAGGTATTTTCCTATAACTCTTCAACATAAAATGTACAATGATTACACTGCGCCTTGATTTACTGGAAACTAAAAAATGCAGCTTATATTCACCAAGTTTAGTAACAAACTCAAACAAAATTTACTTTCTTTTGGGTTTTTTTTTTTTTTTTGAGAGAGTCTCATTCACTGTCACCTAGGCTGTAGTGCAGTGTGGGACATCCAGCTCACTACAGCCTCTGCCTCCCAGGAGCAAGCGACTTCTGCCTCAGCCTCCTAAGCAGCTAGGATTACAGGCATGCACCACCATGCCCTGCTAATTTTTTGTATTTTTAGTAGAGACCAGATTTCACCACCCAGAAGGGAAAAACATGAAAATAAAGAAAGGTTACAACATTTATAGGATAGCATAGAGAAAATTTTCAGATTATAAGAGCTGAAGAGAGAGAAGAGACAGACAAAGGGGCAGAATGTTTATTTAAAGAAACAATAGCAGAGTCGGGTGTGGTGGTACGTGCCTGTAGTCCCAGTTACTCAGGAAGCTGAGGCTGGAGGATTGCTTGAGCACAGGAGTTCAAGTCCAGCTTGGGCAACATAGCAAAACTCTGCCTGAAAAGTAAGGAAAGGAAAGGGAAACAGAGAAAGAACCTATCTTTACAAAAAAAAAAAGAGAGAGAGGGTGAGGGGCAGGCTCCCACTGGTCAAAGATGTAACAACAATTTGAGCTTCATTAAGCATATTAATTGCAATGAATGAAAATCTAAACATGTTAAAAAAAAAAAAAAAGCCCTAAAACATCTTCACAGGTTTAGATGTAACAATTTCAGTATCTTGAAAACTGGTAAATAAAAATAAAGAATCAAGTATTTATCCTGGCTTTCCTTGTGAATTATACTATTTAATAACCAAACAGTGATGAAGAAAATATTCTATGGAAGTATGCTAAGTAATAAATTAAAAAGAAATAATTTAGAATATCACTATCACTATTTTGCAACCTCCAATGAATTAATCCATCTAAGTAGTGAGTATCAATGGCTGCTAACGTCACAAAGAGAGTCATCCAAACAGCCAAGTGCCTTCTGATGACACACTTCCTATTGCCTTGCCAAAGGGATCACACCTAATTAGGATCAAGCCTCTGAATCCAGCTGAAAATCTACAGGGCATACAGAGAACAGAGGAAAGTGTTAAACTGCACTATTAGTATGCAATCAGCAGAATGCAAACTGTGGGAAACTCTACAAGGCAAACAGCCCAGGGTTCAATAGCTAACTTGTAAGAAAAAGAGACAGATGAGATGGGGGATCTGTAGATTAAAAGGCTTAAAAGACGTATCAAATTCAAAATATACATATATACGTAGTATTACAGTGTCTAAGGATATAGTATCACTTGGGTTATAAAACCAATGAACAGCATTATTTCAATAAATGATAGTTGTTACCTATTTTAAAATGTGAAGCTGTACTAGGTGACCATCCCAATTCTTTGCACATGATTATAGTGCTAATTATTTTAATATGAAAGGTTTTCTAGCTGGGCACAGTCGCTCACACCTGTAATCCCAACACTTTGGGAGGCCAAGGCAGGGGGATCACCTGAGCCTAGGAGTTCAAACCAGCCTGGGCAACATAGTGAGACTCTGTTTCTACTTTTTAAAAAATAAAAAATAAAGGTTTTCTGTGCATCAGTCACTTTTCATACAAATCCTTGAGACGTAAAAAAAATCTAATAGAGAAAACATTAGACAGTATTTATACAAGTTTATTTGACCAGTAGTTAGACCAAATGCCTTATAAAGTAGACACATGTTCAGTTTCTTTGTATGTCTTCCATTTTATTTCTTAAGTTAGCATACAGTAAAACAGACTTTTGGGAGGAAGTAGGAGTATACAGTTCTATGAATTTCAACACATGTATATCCATACTCAGGATACAGAACAGTTCTATCACCCCAAAAACTCCCTCATGCTGTCTCTCCATAGTCACACACCCTCCCCCACCATAACCCCTGGTCCATTTTGTGCTGCCATAACAGAATACCTGAGAGAGGGTAATTTATAAACAACAGAAATTTGTTTCTCACAGCTCTGGAGGCTGGTAAGTCCAAGATCAAGGCGCCAGCATCTGGTGAGGATCTTTCTGGCTGTAAACACTCATGGTGAAAGGTGGAGGACAAAATGAGACAAATGTTACATCCTCACATGGCAGAAAAGCAGAAGAGAGCAAGCCCTTTTTATCCTTTTATTTATTTATGAGACAGAGTTTCGCTCTGTCTCCCAGGCTGTAGTGCAGTGGCGTGATCTCGGCTCACTGCATCCTCTGCCTCGCAGGTTTAGGCAATTCTCTGCCTCAGCCTCCCGAGTAGCTGGGATTACAAGCGCTCACCACCACGCCCATCTAATTTTTTTTGTATTTTTAGTACAGACAGGGTTTCACCATCTTGGCCTGGTTGATCTTGAACTCCTGACCTCATGATCCACCCGCCTCGGCCTCTCAAAGTGCTGGGATTACAGGCGTGAGCCACCATGCCCGGCCGCAAGCCCTTTTTATAACAACATTAATCCATTTGTGAGGGCTCCCCCATATGAACCAATACATACACCTTCCATTGGGCCCCCCTCCCAACACTGTTGCATTGGTGATTAAGTTTCAACATGAATTTTCAGAGGGGACAAAAACATTCAAACCATAGCACTGGATAACCAGTACACATTCTCTACCACTACAGTTTTATTTTTTTGAAAATATCATGTAAATGGAATCAGGAGACTAGCTTTTTTAAAAAAGTATAATGTCTTCGAGATTCCTCCAAATTGCTACAACACACGTATCAACAGTTCATTCCTTTTTATAATTGGTACATCATCCATTGTATGATGTACCATAGTTTGTCCATTCACACATTAATATTTGTCTATATGTACATTACCATTTGGGTTGTTTCCAGTTTTGGGCAATTATGAACAGAGCATTACTGGTTTTTGCAGGAACATGTTTCATTTCCTTGGGTAAATACTTAGAAGTGGGACTGCCAGCTCATATGGTAACTTTATAAGAAACCACCAAATTGTTCTCTGAAGTAGCTGTATACTTTTTTGTATTTCCATCTGCAGGGCAGGAGAGTTCTAGTTGCTCTGTATCTCTGTCAGCTTGCTATTGTCTAGGTTTGTTGGTTTGTTTTTGTTTTGCTTTTCTAATAGGTAAGTAATGGTATCTCGTGATTTCTACTTGCATTTCCTACTGGATAAATAGGTTTATGTACTCAGTTTTTTAAAAGAAATATTACATTTAACTCTACTTGTCAAAGAACTATGTTTACTATTTAGCACCCACTCTGTTAATGAAATGCTTTTATAAACTAAACTAAGCTTGATGTCTTTTCAGAACCATGTGCAACATTAAGAGTTTCAAAGTGGCCTCTCAAGCAATAAGAGAAAGTTTATGCAAATATTTTCAATTTGTTTTACTAAATTAAAATTTTTTATAAACTTTTAGTAAAAACTTATTGAAAACATTAAAAAGCTTGTCAAGTTACTTCTCATCTTTCCAAAAGCCATTTCTACAAAATAACATAAATGTAACATTGTCACTTAGCACTTCTTTAAAGCTTATTTTGTATTAACTCTGCTAAACCCTAAGCATACCAATATTAAGTCAAATGACTCTGAACTCAAGGAGTTTATATTACTCATGATTTTTGAAAATCAACTACTTTTTGGGGTGTCTTTTTTTTTTTTTTTATTAGAGGTCCTGCTCTGTTGCCTAGGCTGGAGAGCAGTGGCACAATCATGACTCACTGCAGCCTCAACCTCCTGGGCTCAAGCAGTCTTCTTGCTTTAGTTTCCCAAGTAGCTGGGACCACAAGCGCACACCACCACACCCAGCTAATTTTTAAATTTTCTGTAGAGATGGGATCTTGCTATGTTGCCCAGGCTGGTCTCAAACTCCTGGCCTCAAGTAATCCTCCTGCCTCAGCCTCCCAAAGTGCGGGATCATAGGTGTGAGCCACTGCACCCAGCCTTGATTTTCAAAACTCTTTTTTTTTTTTTGAGATGGAGTCTCGCTCTGTTGCCCAGGCTGGAGTGCAGTGGCGCAGTCTCGGCTCACTGCAAGCTCCACCTCCAGGGTTCACAACATTCTCCTGCCTCAGCCTCCCAAGTAGCTGGGACCACAGGTGAGCACCACCATGCCCGGCTAATTTTTTGTATTTTTAGTAGAGACAGGGTTTCACCGCGTTAGCCAGGATGGTCTTGATCTCCTAACCTCGTGATCCACCCATCTCAGCCTCCCAAAGTGCTGGGATTACAGGCGTGAGCCACCACACCCACCCCAAAACTCTTCATTTTTTAGAACAGTTTCAGGTTTGCAGAAACATTCTGAAGATAATACAGTAAGTTTCCATATACTACTCCTCTATCCGGTTTTCCCTATTATTAACATCTTATATTAGTATGGTACATTTTCTATACTTAATGAATATTGATATATTAACTAAAGCCCATAGTTTTAAGTTCCTCCTGTCTGTGACAGTTTTATAGATTTCCCTGTTTCTGATGACCACTTTTATGGTGCATGAGTAAGGTTTCCTTGTAGGATGCCCCTCTATACTGTATTCTTAATTTTTTTTTTTTTTTTAATGAGATGGGGTCTCACTCTGTCACCCAGGCCCAACTTGGCTCACTGCAAACTCTGCCTCCTGGGCTCAAGCAATCCTCTCATCTCAGCGTCCCAAGTAGCTGGGATCACAGGCAAGTACCACCATGCCCAGCTAATTTTTTGTATTTTTGGTAAAGACAGAATTTCACCATGCTGCCCAGGCTGGTCTTAAACTCCTAAGCTCAAGTAATCCACCTGCCTCGGCCTCCCCAAGTGTTGGGATTACAGGTGCGAGCCACCACAGCGGGCCTATACTGTATGTATGTATGTATGTATGTATGTATTTATGATGGTCAGTACCTCAAATGTTTGTGCCCTCAAATGTCCACCCTTGGCCAGGCGTGGTGGCTCACTCCTGTAATCCCAGCACTTTGGGAGGCTGAAGCAGGCGGATCATGAGGTCAGGAGATTGAGACCATCCTGGCCGACATGTCTCTACTAAAAATACAAAATACAAAAATTGGCTGGGTGTGGTGGCACATGCTTGTAATCCCAGCTACTCAGGAGGCTGAGGCAGGAGAATCACTTGAACCCGGAAGGTGGAGACTGCAGTGAGCCGAGATCGCGCCACTGCACTCCAGCCTGGCAACAGAGCAAGACTCAGCCTCAAAAAAAAAAAAAAAGTCCACCCTTAGCTGTTTCTGTTTTGCTCTGGATTCATGCTTCTCAATCTGGATGCATCTAAGAATTATCTAGGGAGCCCTCTGAAAACCCAGATTAAATCTGGGAGCCCTTTGAAAACCCAGATAAAATCCCATTAAATCTGAGTAAACATAGGTGGGAACTGAACAATGAGAACAACTGGACCCAGGGTGGGGAACATCACACACCGGGGCCTGTCGTGGGGTTGTGGGAGGAGGAGGGATAGCATTAGGAGATATACCTAATGTAAATGACAAGTTAATGAGTGTAGCACACCAACATGGCACATGTATACATATGTAACAAACCTGCGCGTTGTGCACATGTACCCTAGAACTTAAAGTATAATTAAAAAAAAAAAATCTGAGTAAATACAAACTGATTTTTTTTTTTTTTTTTTTTTTTTTTTGAGATGGAATCTCACTCTGTCACCAGGCTGGAGTACAGTGGCACGATCTCAGCTTACTGCAACCTCTGCCTCCCGGATTCAGGCAATTCTTATGCTTCAGCCTCCCAAGTAGCTGGGATTACAGGCATGTGCCACCACACCCGGCTAATTTTTTTTTTTGTGTGTGTGTTTTTAGTAGAGATGGGGTTTCACCATGGTGGCCAGGCTGGTCTTGAACTCCCAACCTCAGGTGATTAACCTGCCTTGGCCTCCCAAAGTGCTGGGATTAAAGGTGTAAACTACCATGCCCAGACCTGTACTCATTTTTAAACATAAAATAATTTACCTACTAAACAAATCTCACTGTGAACGAAAGCTTGGTTCAAATTTTTTAATAATTATCAACATATATGTATACTTTTCTAAAATTTGTGAAAACAGAAAATGGTCACTATTCTAAGGTTCAATACTATGAATTACAATTAAACTGACATCTGTATTTCAACAACCCTAATCTCTTCTAACTCCACAAACATCCTCTACAGTAGGTCTCCATATATCAAGTAGGGAAAGAAATTCTGAAAGTTACAAAGAAAATTAAAAGTTACCTGCCCCTCTTTAAAAACATATGTATCTTTCCACTTACCCTTCCTAGTTATCTAAATAAGAAATTAACTACTAAAAAAAATCTGTGTAAAATATACTTCAATATAACCAGCTTATATTCATTCTTTTTTTTCCTCTTTTAAGTGGCAGACATAGTTTTGAGTATAAAATGTAGCTCTAGTTTTGCTAGCTTGAATCTAAATTCTAATTCCACAGTTATAAATTGTTGCAGAGGTAAGGAAGTTTCTACTCAGCCTCATTTAGGTGAAGGGTACTTCTCATTTACAATAATTGAGATAATTGGACTATGCTTTAGCTTTTCCCTAATTCTTGGTGTGTTTTATTGCCTGTATTGGTTCTTCATGGACCCAAATAAAATTCTCACTAATACTTGTGACTTACCAATTATACCAACTATAGATGTCTCAAATTTAAGAGTTTAAAAAAAAAGACCTTAGGTGGCCAAAGAAGTCATTTTCCCACAAGAGGAACTCCAGATGGATACAATGTTTAAACTTCATTTTAATTGGCAAATAGAAGTTACACATATGTATTGTGTACAACTGGATGTTTTCATATATGTGTACGCTGTGGAATGATTAAATCAAGCTAATTAACATACCTATTATCTCATATATCCAAGCTTTTTTTGTTTTAATAGTAAGGACACTTAAAATCTACTCTCTAGCTGGGCATGGTGGCATATGTCTGTAATCCCAGCTACTAAGTAGGCTGAGGCAGGAAGATTGCTTGTGCCCAGGAATTCTAGATAAGCCTGGGCAACACAGTGAGATCCCATTTCAATTTAAAAAAAAAAAAAACTACTTTCTAAGCAATTTTCAAGTATACAACACTTTATTATTAACTACAGTCAACCATGCTGTACACTGGATCTCCAGAATTTATTCCTCTAAATACCTGAAACTTTGTACACTTTAACCACATCTCCCCATTTCTCCCCAGCTGACAGCTCCTGGTAATCACCATTATATTCTCTGCTTCTATGAGTCTAACTTTGTTAGATTCTACATATAAGTGAGACCACGCAGTATTTGTCTTTCTGTGTCTGGCTTATTTCACTTAGCATAATGTCCTCCAAGTTCTTCCATGTTCTTATAAATATCAAGACTTCCTTCTCCTGAAAAGCTGAACAGTATTCCACTGTGTGTGTGTACATATATATATATATATATATATATATATATATATATACACACACACACACACATTTTCTTTATCCATTCATGTGTTGATGAACACTTAGGTTGATTCTATATCTTAGCTATGGCAAATAATGCTTTAACAAACATAAGAGATAAGATAATTTTCTATTTGTAAAGAGATCCACGAGCAGAACTAGAGTGCTCAGCACTTACGTGATGGTTTCTCAACACTAGGAGGCTTTTGTGCATATTTTATTGTTGCTATTGGTGTTTAAGGGAGCATTTATTTTCCTTTAAAAGTACTCCACATCCATAGAGAAAAAACTTGTAGTTTCTTTTCCTCTCCATGAAATGCTTTATTAAATGAGTAATTTGTTTGAATAACTGAGACAGTATGAATTATGTACCAGCTAGGAACCCCCTTCAAAGTAAGAAAGGAAATAGTTTCTATCACCCTTTAAAATTTTTTAAATATATTTATTTACATTTAGGAGTATGGCTTTAAAGAAACTTCTGTCCTTCACATGACCCTCCAGTTCAAGTGCCCAACAGAGTCTGACTTGAAATTATCAAGTTACTAAACAAAATATTCTAATTAGCCTATATGAGGTACATGTCCATTCTCTGAGGAAGACTGACTTGTTTCCCTCCATCTCTACTTCTGTTCTGAGTATTATTACTATGATCCTCCTAAACCAGTTTGTCCACATCCTTATAGCCTCAAAAGTAGAGAGGATCTCCTTTCTGCTAGATGCAGTTCTAAAAACCCAGGACAGAGCTGGTATTTTTGCTTACATATCCATCCTTGAACCAATAACTGTGACAGTAACAAGCTTCCATTTGGATCATGTTACTAGGGTAGGGATAGGATGAGTTTTCCAAAAGAGGCAAGTAAAAAGGGGTCTGTTAGTGATCTAGACATATTCTCTAGAGGAACTGCTGGCAGCCAATTAGCCAAACCAATCTGTATCAACTAAAATTGGAGGGCAGGGGAGACTTAATGGACACATCGTTCTTTAGAAATTATATTTTTCATTAGGAAATAAAATATGTGTAACTGTGCTTACACATTCCTTCATATTCCTGTTAAAGTTTCTTTTTAAAAAATTAAAATTTCAGGTGCTACATAACTAGCAATGCATAGCAGCTTCTAACTGCAACACTGTGCCTGTGAACAATCATTATAGAAAATGTGGAGAGCAAGAGAATTCAGGGACTTAGCAGTGGAGAGATGAAACAGCACCAAGAGTTCAACCACAGAACAGGAAGCAGAAGGGAAGATGCCTTAGATGGAGGTGTGAAGGATCGTGGGTTCAGCAATGCATAATAAGAAAATCCAAAATAACTATGGCATAAACAAAACAGAAGTTTATTTCTCTCTCACATAAAATAATCTGATAATACTCCAGAGCTGCTCTACCATGACATAAATATACAGGGTCTTTCCAGCTCTCCATTCTACCATCCTTACAAGTATAGCCCCTATCCTCATGATCTAAGTTGGCAGCTGGAAAAAATGATAAAGAATGGTAAAGCTCTTCCTTTAAATAGACTTCTGGGAAATACCAAATACTTCTACTGACATCTAACTGACCAGAATTTAGTCACAAGGTAGTAACTTGCTACAAGAGAACTTCAGAAATTTGTTCTTTCAGCAAGTGGCAATTGGGCCCTCTATCTAGGTTTCATTAACTTGAGAGAAGCAGAGAATGAATATGTGAGGGGAAAAAAAAAACTGCCTAATTTCTGTTGTAACAGGTCAAAGACAAGAAAGGCAGATGAAGGTAACATGTGAATGTAAACTTTCCTTCTCTAATCTCAAGCTACAAAATGGCTAGACTGAAATATTCTTGATATATTCTTACTTGAGAGAGGAAATGGACAAACAACTTTTGATTTTACTTTAGACAACTTCTTATCCCCTCTCTCCATATTATTATAAAAGCCCATATGAGAAGTAAAAGTGTGAGCCAAAATAGTTTGGGTCAAAGTTTTAAAACCTCTTTACTATACAGAGGTATGAAACCAACATGTCCAACAAACAGAAAACACCAAAGCAGAAATAATTTAAAATCAAAGAAAAAAAATCACTATCACTATAAAGACTCTTCTACAGTTAAGACTTCTACATTACTTCCTAGATCCAGAAACTCAGGCTAAACTCCTCTTCTTTACTCCCTACTCCATTGCTTGCTAAACCTCTCTCCTTGCATCCATAAAGCACATCTAATCTCCTTGGTTCTCCTTCCTTGCTGTTTTAAGGATTTTATTGTAATCACTATGGGTAATAACAAAAAAACATTAAGAAATTATGAAGTTTTTAAAACCTTATAAAATACTCTGGGACCTCAAATATTCTCATTTTACTGGGAAGAACTAATGATGTCAAGTAATATGAATTCATGTACTCTAGTCCCAAAACAGTAAATTGCATTTCTACGACCCTAAACATTAGGTGACGTATTTCAAAGTCTTTCTTTAACACAAGCATGACATGGAGATGGCAGTGGTGGTGTTAGTGGTGATAAGACCAAATTAAGACCTTTGGAGGTCCCAAGTACAGAAAATATAATAGTATAGCCCTCTATTCTCTCCCTATTAAATACAAAATAAAAACAATACTAAACAGCTAACATTTAATCCAATAAATTCTTATTTCTTTCCTAATTCTACTTCAGTATTTTTTTAAATGTTAGGTAGTAAATGCTTTCAATTGTTTTTCAAATTCTTTTCTTTCTGCTTTGCTGATACCCTAAGCTTTTGTTTGATAAAAAGCTGTGGCTAATCAGTACTAAGTGCTAATAAACAGAAGTAAAAGCAGTTGCAACTTGAAGAGGTCTGCTCTACATCAGATATTTTACATGCATTATTTATAATTCTTGTCACATCTATAAAAAGGAGAGATTATCAATCCTGTTTTGCTGATAAAGAATGAACTCAAAGAAGCTAGACAAGATGCCCAAGGTCACTCATGCAGTAAATGGCAGAGTTGAGTACCTGAAATAGGCCTTTATGTCTCCCAGGTCTGATCCATTAGACATACTGCCTGTAGGGCATTTCTTCAGAACTAGCTCCTGGACAAAAATTTCATTTCAGAGAAACATTGAAAAATGCTTTTTAAATGCATCATTTGGTAGTACTCAAATTTTCCATGGAACCTAATCACTGATAATCCTAGATAATAACTGTAAATATATAGCCCAGACTGCTACACTGCACAACTCCAGTAGGAAAAAAGAAAAAAAAATTTTATGTGAATGATGTCCCCTGGAATTGTGTGATACAGTTGAGTGTGCAACCCCAATGCTTGTCAAAGACCTTGTCAGGGCCATTTACTATTCTATTTTGGAAAAAAACTTTTTTTTTTTTTTTTTTGAGAGGGAGTCTCGCTCTGTCGCCCAGGCTGGAGTGCAGTGGCACGATCTTGGCTCACTGCCAGCTCCACCTCCCAGGTTCACACCATTCTCCTGCCTCAGCCTCCCCAGTAGCTGGACTACAGGCGCCCACCACCACACCTGGCTAATTTTTTGTATTTTTAGTAGAGACAGGGTTTCACCATGTTAGCCAGGATGGTCTCGATCTCCTGACCTCGTGATCTGCCTGCCTCAGCCTCCCAAAGTGCTGGGATTACACGTGTGAGCCACTGTGCCTGGCCACTATCATTGTTTTTTAAAGCCAATAAGCATTCTCGGAATGTTAAAGAAAAGTTTTTGTTGTTGTTGTTTTGAGACAGGGTCTTGCTATGTTGCCCAGGGTGATCTCAAACTTCTGGGCTCAAGCGATTCTCCTGCCTCAGCCTCCTGAGTAGCTGGGATTACACACTTGTGCCATCAGGACCAGCTCAAGAAAGATATTTTACAGCCTGGGCAACACAGTGAGACCTTGTCTCTACAAAAAAATTAAAAACTAGCCAGACATGGTGGCACACACCTGTGGTCCCAGCTTCTCGGGAGACTGAGGTAGAAGAACTGCTTGAGTTCAGAGTCGTCTGAGGCTACAGTGAGTGATGATCACACCACTGCACTCCAGTCTGGGTAACACGGCAAGACTCTGTCTTTTAAAGAAAAAAAAAAAAAAAAAAGGGAAGATATCTTAAAGCACACGAAAATAAAAATACACCAAAAGTCAATTGTAAGAAAATGCAAACTAAAACCACATGATATACAACTATACACCTATTATAAGAGCTAAAATTAAAAAAAAAAAAAAGAAAGAAAAAGGAACAGATACTACCAAGTGCTAGTAAGGATGTAGAGCAACTGGAACTCTCAAACATCGTTGGTGGAAATGCAAAATGGTACAACCACTTTGGAAAACAATTTGGCAGTTTCATACAAAATTACACATATGCTTACCATATCATCCAGCAATCTGCTCCTAGGTATTTACCCAAGTGAAATGAAAACTTATGATCACACACAAAGCTATACATGAATGTCTATAGCAGTTTTATTCATAATTGCCAAAAACCAGCAATAAGCTAAACGTCTTTCAACAGACAAATGGATAAACTAACCATGGTACATTCATACCACAGATTACTACTCAGCAATGTAAAGGAACGAACTATTGATACACGCAACATAAATGAATCTCAATGAATTTTCTAAGTAAAAGAGGCTGATCCAAAAGTCTATATAACTACAATGTCACTTACAGTTGGCCCTCCATATCCACTAGTTCCATATCTGAGAATTCAACCAATATGGATAGAAAATATTATAGTAAAAAAAATACAACAAAAATAATACATATAAACAACATAACAACGATGTATATAGTATTTACATTGTATATTATATTTAGCGATGACTGGAGTACCAGGAGGATGTGTGTGTATATGTAAACACTAGGTCATTTTACATAAGGGACCTGAGCATCTGTGAATTTTAGTATCTGAAGGGGTTTTGGAACTAATTTCCCTCAGATAAGGAGTGACAACTGTGTATGACATTCGGAAAAGTAAAATGGTAGCCATAGAGAATAGATCAGTGTTTTCCAGGGCGATGAACTTAGGGGGAGAGGTTAACTACAAATGGGCAGCAGGAGTTCTGTGTCTTGATTATGAGGGTAGATACATATTATATGCATTTGCCAAAATCCATAGAACTGTGTATCGCAGTGTGGATTTTAATGTATTAATGCATAATTTAAAAATGAAAAAAGTTGTATAAAAAATAAAGGAAATATGCCAAATTGGGATAAAAGAAAAAAAAGGTGGGGGGGCTTTTCACTACCAGATCTACAAATGGTTATCCTCTGGAGATAATACAGCTGCCTCCACTGAGCTGTAAAGATAAAATGTAAAACGCTTAACACAGGCTTACCACACAGTAAATTCTTAGTTTTGAATTCTTAAATTCTAGTTCCCTTCCCTTTCCCTGCTTCTCTCTCCTATGTAAGTATTTCTCTTTCACTGTGTCTACTATTGCCTTTTCTTTCTTCTGCCTCTGAAATGGCTTTACATTGTTTTTGCTACTTCAAATTCCTTTTCCCTATTTCTCTGGTTAACAACATCTATCCTCTGGGGAACTGACACTACCCCCGATTTGTGTGGTTCTGATGTTAATGTCAACGACAATTCCCCACAGTGATTAGCCCAGAGATAAGCCTGTCAGAGGCCATCCTAGGGAACTAAGTTCTCAGCTGTCTGAGGCCATGCATCCTTGCCATGAAAGAAGCTTTCTAACATAAGCAGAAAATGAGGCCAACAGGAGAAAAAATAAAATGAAGCTAGAATACTCTGAAGACAGCATCTAAGTTCCTGGATCTGGTTGTTCCTGGACTTCTCCATCTCTATTCTTCCTATTTACATAGCCAATAAATCACCTTTCTGTATAAGGCATTTTAGAATTGTTGTTTTTAATGCTTCCCATTTTAAAATCACAAAATATTTGGCTTCTCTAAGGAAACAAAAATAGTAAATTCTCTCTTTACTTGCTGTGGCCTTCAGTTATTTTCAGTATTAGTGGCTACTAATATCAAGATATTACCCAACCCCACTGTAGGGCAATCACACACATTTGAAAGAGGTAGAAATAGCTGAGCCTGGTGGCACACATTTTTAGCCCTAGCTACTGAGGAGGCTGAAGCAGGAGGACGGCTTGAGGCCAGGAGTTTCAGGTTGCAGTGCTCTATGATCACATCTGTGAATAGCCACTGTGTTCCAACCTGGGCAACACAGCGAGAGAGAGAGAGAGAGAGAGAGAGAGAGAGAAGAGACAGAAGAGAGGTAGAAATAAAAGATAAAGCCACATATAACAACAGTAGACTGAGAACAGCTGCCTAGTGAAGATTTACATTACAAATAGTGAAAAACCTTCAAGACAGCTTTTAATGCAAATTATATCAGGTTTTAAATCTTCAGTGCAGGCAGTACTCACTTTTCATTACCTTACATTTTACCACTCTACTCACTTAAAGCTAGGTAATAAAGATATATGTTACTTTGTGTCATTCTGCCATTGCATGCTCTTTCACAAATTTTAATCAATATCTGAAGAAAGGCAATAGCATATGCAAATACGAAAAGCACACAACTGCAGTAAGGATTAAAGAAGAAGTCTCACAAGTTGACAACAAACACATAGCACACTCCTAATAAGCCTTTCTTCAGTTTGTCTTCCTGGAATGCCCCTACTTGTTTTTGATGCTAAGCTAATCATCACTATGTACCATATCCTACTAGAACTTCCTCTGCCACCTCACCCTTCATCATAGCAATTACTGAATTATAATTATATATTTATATGTTAGTGGTAATGAGAACCTAAACTGTTATCAAAAAAAAATGAAACAGAAAAAAGCAGATGAATGAGATAAACACTGTAGTGATAGAATTCGCAGTTTTGTTACAGGATCCCAACACTTACCCAAAGGTAGCCGTTGGGTCAGGGTTTCTGCACTATAGTCTCTTCTGTGGTTGCCAGAAATAGGTTACAGGACAGAGAAACATGTTACAGGAAAGGGGTCCTAATCCAGATCCCAAGAGAGGGTTTTTGGATTTCACACAAGAAAGAATTCAGGGCGAGTCCACAGTGCAAAGTGAAAGCAAGTTTATTAAAGTAAAGGCATAAAAGAATGGCTACTCCATGGGCAGAGCAGTCTCGGGGGCTGTTGGTTGCCTATTTTTATGGCTATTTCTTGATGATACGGTAAATAAGGGGTGGATTATTTATGTCTCCCATTTTTAGACCATACAGGGTAACTTCCTGACATTGCCATGGCATTTGTAAGCTGTCATAGAGCGGTGCTAATGGAAGTGTAGTAGTGAGGATGACCAGAGGTCACTCTCATTGCCATTTTGGTTTTGGTGGGTTTTGGCTGGCTCCTTAACTGCAACCTGTTTTATTAGCAAGGTCTTTATGACCTGTATTTTGTGCCGACCTCCTATCTCATCCTGTGACTTAGAATGTCTTAACTGTCTGGGAATGCAGCCCAGTAGGTTTTAGCCTCATTTTACCCAACTCCTGTTTAAGATGCAATTGCTCTGGTTCACAGGCCTCTGATAGTTTGACAAGCGAATGAATCTGACGGGGAATACAAAGATGATTCACAATTCAAGTTTGGATAATGGGAAGGAAAAGCCAATAATTTAAAAAAAAAAAAAAGGAAAGTAGAAAAAATACATTTTAAAAGAAAAGAAAATTCAAATTTGAGTGGGTTAAGCATGACAGCATGACAATTAGATGACAATCTCCAGCTGGAAACTGACGTTCAGGAACTTACAGTATAGGGGTCACCTGGAAGAGATTCTCACTAAAGCCAAAAGAATAGGTAACATTTCAAGAAAAAGAATCTAGAGAATGAAAAACATGTAAGGCAAATACTTGAGAAACAAGTTGACTTTGTAAATGAGCCAAGAGGACAGCAAAGTTATAAGGAGAAGGGAGGAGGAAAAGTGGTTCACAGTGTTAAATCTGAAGCAACAAGACTGAAGAATCCCCATTTGGCAATTCAGAAGGTCACTGGTAACAACAGAAAGAACAGTTTTAGTAAAAAATAAGGTAACCAAATTGAAACAACAGACATAAATTGTTTTTTTTCCTTTGGCCTGTTGCACAGTATTTAAAAATAATAATAATAAGGAAAGGTTTTTGTTTAAGCCATTAAATTGTTGCTAGGGAAGATTAAAATAAAAATGATAAAAGAGTTAATTAATGATCCTATACATTCTAACAGTAGAAGGGATAAAAGAGGTAGCCATGAAAACCTAAAGGGCATATTGCATATCCCTGACACCAAATGGGAGACAGAACTTACACAATTTAGAGAGAGAGAAAAGCAAAGCTGAAGAAGCTTCTGTTGGATAGTCTTGATCTTACATTAAAAAAAAAAAAAAAGTGAACCTACAAAGTCTAAGAGCAGTACACTGGAATCAGGCCCTAGGAAGAAGTAGAGTGGTGGCTCACGCCTGTAATCCCAACACTTTAAGAGGCTGAGGCAGGCAAATCACTTGAGGCCAGGTGTTCAAGACCAGCCCAGGCAATGTGGCAAAACCCAGCCTCTACAAAAAAAATACCAAAAAAAAGCCGGGTATGGTGACGCATGCCTGTAGTCCCAGCTACTCCAGAGGCTAAGGCAGGAGGATCACCTGAGCCCAGGAGGTTGAGGCTGCAGTGAGCTGGGATTGCGCCACTCCCCTTAGTCTGGGCAACAGAGCATGACCCTGTCTCATTTGAGAGAAAAAAAAAAAAAAAAAAAAGGCCGGCGCAGTGGCTCACACCTGTAATCCCACACTTTGGGAGGCCGAGGAGGGTGGATCACCTGAGGTTGGGAGTTTGAGACCAGCCTGACCAACATGGAGAAACCTTGTCTCTACTTTAAAAAAAAAAAAAAAAATTAGCCGGGTATAGTGGCGCATGCCTGTAATCCCAGCTACTCCGGAGGCTGAGGCAGGAGAATCATTTGAACCCGGGAGCAGGAGGTTGCAGTGAGCCGAGATCGCGCCACTGCACTCCAGCCTGGGCAGCAAGAGTGAAACTCTGTCTCAAAAAAAAAAAAAAAAAAAAAATTAGTAGAAAAGGTCTGAAATAGCCCCTATAGGAAGTGGAAAAGAATTGCCAATCAATGCAACCAAGTATTTTAGAGCACATTTTCTCATTAATTGCTCATCTCATTTTTTACTTAACTTGTAGGATACAAATTCTTCAGTCTATTTGATCTGATATCCCTTTTTTAAAGAGAGCTTTCTATATCCCATCTAATGATGTTCTGTACGTCTACTTTTCCATTGTAAATTACCCCATCTATTCTTTGCTATGTTACAAAACTTTTAATTATTCTTCCTGCTTTAATGTGGTTCTAGTCTTGCTCTCATGCTCTGTACAAATATCAAAGTAGTATTTGATTACACAAGAAATCCTTAATGTCTATTTTCTTAAAGACAAGTATTCAAGAGAACTATATAAAGAAAAGGAATTCTAAACCTAGAAATGGCTATATCTTCTGACGGCTGCTCATTTACTATTATGACTAAAAATAAAAATTCCCCAGGAAAATATGAACGATGATCTTTAATATTTTGAAGCTTCAGAACAGAAAAAGTGTCTCTTTTCATTTACATTGACATTTTTCCAATTACACAACTCATATTTCAGTATTTTATATGTATTAAAAATTCAGTGGGACTTTTAAAATAAATATGGCATAACACATTTTCAAAAGAACATTCTTGGCTGGTGCAATGGCTTACCCCTGTAATCCCAACATTTTGGGTGGCCGAGGTGGGCAGGTCGCTTGAGCTCAGAGTTCGAGACCAGCCTGGGCAACACAGAGAAACCCTGTCTCTACAAAAAATATCAAAAACAAAAAAAAATTAGCTGGGCGTGGTGGTATGTGTCTACAGTCCCAGCTACTCAGGAGGCTGAGCTGGGAGGATAGATTCTGCCCCAGGGGTCGAGGCTGCAGTAAGCCATGAAAGCACTACAGCACTACAGCCTGGGCAACAGAGTGATACCCTGTCTCAAAAAAAAAAACAAAAACAAAAAAAGATTCTTGCAATAAGAACAGTCACCTCAGAGAGTTCTACATTTATTTCCATAACGCTGACACTGACATTTCATAAAAAGCTTTGGGATTCAACTTTTGTAGCTGCTTTAAAGTCTCTTGTAAGTCTTTTTTTTTTTTTTTTTTTTTTTTTTGAGACAGTCTCACTCTACTATCCAGGCTGGAGCGCAGTGGTACAATCTCAGCTTACCGGCAGCCTTGACCTCCCGTGCTCAAGTGATCCTCCCAACTCAGCCTCACAAATGGCTGGGCCTACAGGCACACACCACCACACCCGGCTGATTTTTTAATTATTTGTAAAGATGGGGTATCACCATGTTGCCCAGGCTGATCTCAAATTCCTGGGCTCAAGCAATCCTCCCATCTCAGCCTCCAAAATGCTGTGATTACAGGCATGAGGCACCATGCCTGGCCTGCTTTAAAGTCTTAATATAATGTTTATAATATTGTCAGAGTGACAAATCTTCATAAAATAAACATAGTTTTGATTTGGAGATATTTGTTATCAAAAAGTGGTTTACCTACATTGGAAATGCTACTTTTGAACAAAAAGTGTGACTCTAAAACATGAAACAAATTTTCTTACGCCGCTGTAATGACACCATCATTAAAATACATTTATAGCTACATTCCCCTCCTCCAGTGTCTGCTCTGTGGGTTATCACTCATATGCTCTAGTATGTTGGGTAAAAATAAAGTTCAATCATTTAATAGCCATACTTCCTACTACTGTAGGTAAAATAACAAGCCCTGAAGGTTTCTAAAAGTCAAATTATTGATTATTTGAAAGCAGTTACAACACTGATTTTTAAATTTAGGCAGCTGTGATTCAATTCTCTTTTTTTATACTATACTGAAAATGAACATTACTCTTTTAGCATATACCTGACACCAGCCTACTCAGTCAATTGTCTACTCCTGTTACAAACACACACATATACACATGTACACTATTTTTTAAATCCCCCATACATGTATTGTTTTCCTAGTTTATAACCTGAATGTTACCTGTCAGCTTTGCCTCTAGGACAACCTTCCCAATGATAGTCATGCACTTTCCTTCGTTCTTCTTGAAAAACTATCTAACCCCACTTGACTACCTTGAGTGCAGCTTGGCACAAACTTCACTGAAATTGTTCCAACCCACTTTCTACTCCCAAAACAAAAAACTAAAACAGCATATAGTCTTGTACTTCTCTTCATAACAAGTTTCAATCACTTTTGAAGCTCTACCTCACAGAATTATTCAACTATGGCTTTGTTCTCGTCAAAAATCTTTATTAACTCAGCATTTAAGATTATCCCCATCCTCAGAGTTGTATGTGTGAACTAAGAAATGCCCAAGAAAATGTTTAATCACCCATCTTGATTCTTCCAGACAATTCCAAATTTGTTCATTGCTGAATCATCCATTAGACCATGTCTTAGTCCGTTTGGGGTGCTATAACAAAATACCTTAGACTGGGTAACTTATAAATGACAGAAATTTATTGCTTACAGTTCTGGAGGCTAGGAAGTGCAAGATCAAGGTTTGGTGTCTGGTGATGGCAGAAAGTGGGGGTTCAAGCTCCCTCAGGCCTCTTTAATAGTAAAGACACTAATCCCATTCCTGAGAGCTCTGCGCTCATGACGTAGGTACCTCCCAAAGGCCCCACCTCTTAAAACCATCAAAGTGAAGGTTAGGTCTCAACGTAAGAATTCTGAAGAGACATTCAGACCATAGCTGACATAAGCCTCATTTTTTTGATCCAGAAAAAGACACACACACACACAGTGGCTACATTTAAGAGGAAGAGTTAATGTACCTTTTAAGAAAAGGTCAGTGAATGTCTACCCAGCTGTGAAAAGTGGGATATAAGAAAGTCAAAATAATTCATTTTATGGAAGAAAAAGCAGAGGCCGAGAGGGGACAAGTGGTTAACCATGTTTATATATTTGGTGGCACACACTACTAGTATCCAAGTCTCCTGATTCCAAGTTCAAAGCTTTTGTACTTTATCCATTCATTCCCATTACTAAACAGAATCATGCTAAATGAAAGGAGGAGTACACAAAAGACTACACTATTGTATGATTCCATTAATATTAAAAATCAAGAAATGGCAAAACCATGGAGACAAAAAGCAGATCAGTGGTTGCCTGGAGCTGGGGATAGGCACAGGGAGTGACTGCAAATGGACAAGAATGGGTTTTTTGGAAGATGAAAGTTTTCTAAAACTGGATTGTGATAATTGTTGCACAACTATATAAATTTACTAGAACTTGAACTATGAATGTTATGGTATATAAATTATACCTTAATAATGCTATTTTTAAAATTACTAAGAAGGAATTCGGTATATAAGGAACTCAACTCAATAGCAAGAAAACAAATAATGCAATTAAAAAATGGGCTACAGACCTAAATAGACATTTCTCAAAAGAAGACATATAAATGGCCAATTGGTATATGAAAAAATACTGATGAACCATCACAAAAATGCAAATCAAAACCACAATTCTGTATCACCTCACGCCTGTTAGAATGGCTATTCACATAAAGACAAAAGATGAGGATGTGGAGAAAAGGGAATCTTGTACACTGTTGGTGGGAATGTAAATTGAGACAGCCATTATAAAAGAACAGTGTGGAGGTTCCTCAAAATATTAAAAATAGAACTACCATATGCTCCACCAATTCCACTTATGGGTATACATCCAAAGGAAATGAAATCAGTATGTCAAGGAGGTATCTGCACTCCAATGTTCATGAAAGCATTATTCATATAGCTAAGATATGGAGTCAACGTAAGCGTCCACCAATGGATAAACGGGTAAAGAAAATGTGTTATGTAGGCCAGGCGCGGTGGTTCACGCCTGTAATCCCAGCACTTCAGGAGGCCAAGGCGGGCGGATCACGAGGTCAGGAGATTGAGATCATCCTGGCTAACATGGTGAAACCCTGTTTCTACTAAAAATACAAAAACAAAATTAGCCGGGCATGGTAGCGGGCACCTGTAGTCCCAGCTACTAGGGAGGCTGAGGCAAGAGAATGGCCTGAACCCGGGAGGCAGAGCTTACAGTGAGCCAAGATCACACCACTGCACTCCAGCCTGGGCGACAAAGAGAGACTCCGTCTCAAAAAAAAAGAAAGAAAATGTGTTATGTGTGCATGTGTGTGTGCATGCTCACACACACAGGATTCATATTCAGCTTTTAAAAAGTAAGACAATCCTGTTGGAGTTTAAATACGCCATTCTGACATATTGACTATTTTGAGTCAAAGGCACTTGAAAAACAGCAGGTGTAAGAAGAGCGCTCTGACCTTTCTTCTATTTCTTAAAAGCAGATGAAATTCCCATGTGAATGATGTCCTCCTTAAACTAAAAGGAAAGCAACATTTTTATCATCAAGGACGGGATATGGAGACAAAGAGAATTCCATACAGACTTTGTTAAAATAACTTCTATCCTTTAAGCCTCCCCATATAATCCAGTTTATTTTTCACAAGTTATTATCCTTTGTCCAATTCAGTATGTAAGTATTCAATTCTAACTGTATCTTTGGGTCTGTTTCCTTATGAGGGCTCCTGTGCCACATAAAACTTGTATTGAATAAATTTGTGTGCTTTTCTCCTGATAATCTATCTTATGGTAATTTGTGAGGCCAAGCAAAAAAAAAAAAAAAACTTTAAAAAGGTGGAGGTAAAGTTTGCCTCCCCTTTACACTGTTATCTGCAAATAACATGGATGAACCCGAAGGACATTAGGCTAAGTAAAATAGGACTGGCAGAAAAAGACAAATACACGTACTACATGATCTTACTTATATATGGAATCTAAAAAAGGTGAACTCATAGAAGCAGAGAACAGAATGGTGGTTGCCAAGGGCTGGGGTGAGGAGGAAATGGGGAGATGTTGGCCAAAGGGTTATTCAGGATGAGTAAGTTCGAGAGATCTAACGTACAGCATGGTGACCACAGTTAATAATATTTATTGTACACACTAAATGTGCTAAGAAAGTAGATTTTTTTTTTTTTTGAGACAGAGTCTTGCACTGTCACCCAGGCTGGAGTGCAGTGGCGTGATCTCAGCTCACTGCAACCTCCGTCTTTCAGGTTCAAGCAATTCTCCTGCCTCAGACTCCCAAATACCTAGGATTACAGGGGCCCGCCACCACACCCAGCTAATTTTTTGTATTCTTAATAGAGATGGGGTTTCATTATGTTGGCCAGGCTGGTCTCAAACTCCTGACCTCATGATCCGCCTGCCTCAACCTCCCAAAGTGTTGGGATTACAGGCATGAGCCACTGCTCCCAGCCAGAAAGGAGATTTTAAATGTTCTCACCACACAAACACACAAAAATAACTATGTGAGGTGACGGATGTGTTAATTAGCATGATTGTGGTAAACATTTCACAATCTACACATATACCAAAACATCAAGTTGTACACCTTAAATATATACAATTTTTATTTGCCAATTATACCTCAATAAAACCAGGGGGAAAAAGAACATTTCATGTTTAAAAAAAAAAAAAAAAAAAACGGCCAGGCATGGTGGCTCATACCTGTAATCCCAGCACTTTGGGAGGGCGAGGCGGGTGGATCACCTAAGGTCGTGAGTTCTAGACTAGCCTGACTAACATGGAGAAACCCTGTCTCTACTAAAAATACAAAAAAATTAGCTGGGTGTGGTGGTGCATGCCTTTAATCCCAGCTACTTGGGAGGCTGAGGCAGGAGAATCGCTTGAACCCAGGAGGTGGAGGTTGTGGTGAGCCGAGTTCGTGCCATTGCACTCCAGCCTGGGCAACAAGAGTGAAACTCCGTCTCAAAAAAAAAAAAAGAAACTCCATTTTTTTTCTAATTGTTTTTAGCTTTAAACTCTTAGAGCTCTCAGGGCTTAAAACTTGAACAACACAGGTTTGAATTTTGAGGGTCCACTCATATGCTAATGTTTTTCAATAAATATGTTGATAAATTTGGGGGAGGTTTGTGACAATTTGAAAATATTCATAGACAACCATATAACCTAGAAATATCAAAAAAGTAGGCCATGTGCAGTGGCTCACACCTGTAATCCCAGCACTTTGGGAGGTCAAGGCAGGAGGATCATGAGCACTGGAGTTCAAAACCACCCTGGACAAGGGCAACATGGCAAAACCCTGTCTCTACAAAAAACACAAAAATGAGCCAGGCATGGTAGCATGCACCTGCAGTCCCAGCTACTTGGGAGGCTGAAATGGGAGAATCGCTTGAGTCAGAAGGCAGAGGTTGCAGTGAGCTATGATTGAATCATGACATTCCAGCCTGAGTGACAGAGTGAGACCCTGGGTCAAAAAAAGAAAAAGACGGGAGGCTGAGGTAGGAGAATCACCTGAACACCAGAGGTGGACGTTGCAGTGAGCCGAGATCGTGCCACTGCATTCCAGCCTGGGTGACAGAATGAGACTTCATCAAAAAAAAAAAAAAAAAAGAAAAGAAAAGAAAAATAGAAAGTAAGAGGTATGTCATGAGTGCTTAAAATATATGTAGATACTAGTCTATTTTATCATTTACTACTACAAATATATACAAATCTATTATAAAAAGTTAAAAATTGTCACAACTTATACCACACACTTAGCCACACATGGTGGCATTTGACACTGAGAGAAACCCTGTCTCAAAAGAGTAAAGATGCAGTATTAAATCATAACTACATAAATTTAACTGTACTACACCCTGTACTATTGAAATAATTTTGTAGCCACCTCCTGTTGTTAATGAGGTGAGCTCAAGAGTGAATATTTGCTTAAAGTACCATGTGACATTAATCATCTCCAAGCAAGCAGTTCATCTTTCCAATAAATTGTATATTCCAGTAAAAAGTGATCTCTCGCGGTTTCATTATGTTTAGTACGATACTATAAACCTCAAATGACACCTAAGTGCCACTAGTGATGCCGGAAGTGCTCCCAAGAAGCAGAGAAAAATCATGGCATTACAAGAAAAAGGTGAATTGCTTGATACGTACTGTAGATTGAGGTCTGCAGCTGCAGTTGCGTGCTACTTCAAAATAAATGAATCCAGCATAAGGGCCATTGTAAAAAAAGAATTCATGAAGCCATTGCTGAAGGCACACCAGCAGATGCAAAAATTGTGCACGTTTTGTGAAATAGTTTTTTATCTCATGTTGAAAATGTAGCTTTTATAGGGGTACAGGATTGCTATAAAGAAAGGCATCCCTATAAACTTTAATAAGTTTCAAGAAAAAGCAAAGTCATTATACAACTTAAAACAAATGGAAGGCGAAGGATCTAAAGCTGAAGAATATAATGCCAGCCACGGATGGCTTGATAATTTTAGAAAGAGTTTTGGCTTTAAAAACGTCACGATAACAGGAGAAGCAGCTTCTGCCAACCAAGAGGCAGCAGACGACTTTCCAGATGACATTAAGAAAATCATTCACTTAGGCCGGGCGCGGTGGCTCACGCCTGTAATCCCAGCACTTTGGGAGGCCGAGGCAGGCGGATCACGAGGTCAGGAGATCAAGACCATCCTGACTAACACTGTGAAACCCCAGTCTCTACTAAAAATACAAAAAATTAGCCTGGCGTAGTGATGGGTGCCTGTAGTCCCAGCTATTCAGGGGGCTGAGGCAGGAGAATGGCGTGAACCTGGGAGGCGGAGCTGGCAGTGAGCAGAGATTGCGCCACTGCACTCCAGCCTGGCCGACAGAGCCAGACTCCATCTCAAAAAAAAAAAAAAAAGAAAGAAAATCATTCACTTTGGGAGGCCGAGGTGGGCAGATCACAAGGTCAGGAGTTCGAGACCAGCCTGGCCGATATGGTGAAACCCCGTCTCTACAAAAAATACAAAAATTAGCCAGGCGTGGTGGTGTACACCTGTAGTCCCAGCTACTCAGGAGGCTGAGGCAGAAGAATCACTTGAACTCGGAAGGCGGAGGTTGCAGTGAGCCGAGATCGCGCCACTGCACTCCAGCCTGGGTGACAAAGCGAGACTCAGTCTCGAAAAAAAAAAAAAAAAAAGAAAGAAAGAAAGAAAATCACTGAGGAGGCCAGGTGCAGTGGCTCATCCCTGTAATCCCAGCACTTTGGGAAGATGAGGCAGGAGGATCGTTTGAGGCCAGGAGTTCAAGATCAGCCTGGGCCTGGGCAATACAGCGAGACCCTGCCTCTACAAAAAACATTTTTTTAATTAGCTGGGGGAAGGCATAATGGCTCACACCTGTAACCCCAGCACTCTGGAAGGCCCAGGTGGGAGGATCACCTAAGGCCAGGAGTTTAAGACCAGACTGGGCAACACAGTGAGACCCTGTCTCTACAAAAAAATAAAAAATATTTAAAAATTAGCCAGGCATAGTGGTGCACACTTGCATCCCAGCTATTCGGGAGGCTGAGGCAGGAGGACTGCCTAAGTCCAGGAGTTTGAGACTGCGGTGAGCTATGATCATGCCATTTGCATGTCAGCCTGGGCAATTGAGCAAGACCCTATCTCTTAAAAAAAAAAGAAATATGGAGAAAGAATATCCGCCTAAACAAGTTTTTAATATAGACAAAAGTGCCCTATTCTGGAAAACAATGCCATAAAAAACATTCATTAGTAAGGAAGAGAAAAAGCACCAGGATTAAAGGCAGGAAGGGATGGGCTAACTCTACTGTTTGGTGAAAATGCAGTGTGGTTTATGATCAGAACTGCCCTTATCTATAATGCTACAAACCCCCAAGCCTTGAAGGGAAAAGATAAACACCAGCTCCCAGTCTTTTGGTCATAGAACAAAAAAAGCCTGGGCAATGAGAACCCTTTTTCTGGATTGGTTCCATTGATGCTTTGTCCCTGAAGTCAGGAAGTATTTTGCCTGTAAGTTCTTTTATTATTGAACAATACCCCTGGCCACCCGGAACCCCATGAGTTCAACACCAAAGGTGCTGAAGTAGTCTACTTGCCCCCAAACAAAATGTCTCTAATTCAGCTTCTAAATCAGGGGGTCACGAGGATCACTGGACACAGTACACTACAGAAAGTACTGTCAACTCTATGAAAGAGAATGCCAATAAAGAAACCATCCTGAAAGTCTGGAAGGATTACACCACTGAAGAAGCCGTCGTTGTTATGGAAAAAGCCATGAAAGCCATCAAGCCTGAAACAATAAATTCCTGCTGGAGAAGACTGTGTCCAGATGTTGTGCATGACTTCACAGGATTTGCCACAGGGCCAATCAAGGAAATCACGAAAAAGACTGTGGATATGGCAAAAAAAAAAAAAGGGGGGGGTGGGTTAAAGGGTTTCAAGATACAAATCTTGGAGAAATTCAAGAAATAGACATCACACAAGAGGAATTTAAAAAGATGACTCGGTAAGTGCTTCCAATCCAGTACCAGGTAATGTAGAAGGAATGCAAGAAAACAAAATGACATCAGACGATATGGCAGAAGACTGTCTGATTGTTCAAGACTGCTTTTGACTCCTTCATGACATGGACCCTTCTCTGATATGGGCACTGAAACTAAAGCAAACGGTGGAAGAAGGATTGGTACCATATGGAAATGTTTTCAGAGAAATGAAAAAGCAAAAAAGGCAGAAGTATGACGTATTGCCATAAAGTTACACCATGTGTGCCTGCCTCTCACGCCTCCCCTTCCCCCTTCCACCTCTACCATGCTGAGACCAACAAGACGAATTCCTCCGCTTCCTTCTCCTCTCAGCCTACTCAATGTGGAGACAATGAGGATAAAGGCCTTTGTGATGATCCACTTCCACTTAATGAAGAGTAAATATATTCTCTCTTCCTTATGATTTTTTTTTTTTTTTTTTTTTTCCTGAGATGGAGTCCCGCTCTGTCGCCAGGCTGGAGGGCAGTGACACAACCTTGGCTCACTGCAACCTCCACCTTCTAGGTTCAAGCAATTCTCCTGCCTCAGCCTCCTGAATAGCTGAGACTACAGGCACATGCAACCACGCCCAGCTAATTTTTGTATTTTTAGTAGAGATGGAGTTTCACCATGTTGGCCAGGATGGTCTCGATCTCTTGACCTCAAGATCCGCCCACCTTGGCCTCCCAAAGTGCTGGGATTACAGGCGTGAGCCACGGCGCCCGGCCTATGATTTTCTTAATAACATTTTCTTTTCTCTAGCTTACTTTGAGAACACAGTATATAATACATATAAGGTACAATGTGTTAGTTGACTATGTCATCGGTAAGGCTGGAAGTCAACAGTAGTTTATTAGTAATTAAGTTTTTGAGGAGATAAAAGTTACATGTGGATTTTCATCTTGATGGGGGTCTGTGCCCCAAACCCAGTGCTGTTCAAGGGTGAACTATACGTGCTGAAAAGTGTCATTAAAATATGAAGAAACCAACTTTTCTCTAAACTTTAGATGCACTTCCCTGAATAATTTCCAAAGGTTGGGTATCTTATTTTCCAACCGTGCATTTACAAGCAGAAACAGCAAACGATAGGTACTATACTGATATACATGTAGAAATGAACACATGATCCCTATTAAAACATTTTCATTATTTATCATTATTTCCTTTCAGGTACTTCTGTACTACTCTAAGCCTCTGTAGACAGTCATATAGAGGATGTGTTCTGGCCAAGTTTGGTGGCTCACACCTGTAATCCCAGCATTTTGGGAGGCCAAGGGAGGAGGACCACTTGAGCCTAGGAATTCAACACCAGCCTGGGCAACAGAGCAAGACCTCATCTCTAAAATAAAATAAAAAATAAAAATAAAAAAAGGATGTGTTCTTTTCTTTGTTATCTAGTCTGACAAAAATTTCTCCAAAATAGACTTCTTTGGTAATTTTATTTTCATTACATCTTTATGCCATTAAAACCTAAACACTAATCTTTTTTTTATTATTATTAAGAGGAACTATTCCTAATTGCACATTACCAGGTTTCTGTTGCTTATTATTTGGTGCATCCTCAGTAGGTATACATCTTTTCAGCTTACTCAGCATTGAGAACATAATATTGTGTGTTTGTTTACTTACAAATTAAAAGTAACATTATATCTCTCATCGTATGCACACTTGACAACCTATGAGATGTATCAAGCAGATACTTCTAATATTTGAACCTTAAAAATAAACGGAATTTTAGTTGATAGAGGGCTGGATGTCTGTAATTATGTCACGAAGCAATCAGGGTTATCAGTACATCTACATTTCTCACGCTGTTGAGGGGGTCGGTTTACCAAGCATAAGACAGGACCTTTTGGCCTCAAGAATTTCAGTTACAACCTGCCTAACCCCTAGAGTTTCACTAAACTTCCTAAGAGAGAAAGAAAAACCTAAAACTTAGAAAAAGAAAGCAAATTGTTTACCCTGGCTTAGTTCTAATTGTAAAGAATCAACTTTCTCAAAATTACAATCTTTTGACATTTGGCAACTGAATGAATCAAGTAGTTATTCAGAGAGCTCAAGACATAAAAACTAATACAACTTCTATTATATATTTTTCTCCTTCAGGTACCAGTACAATTCCATGTGTTGGAGAAATTGAGTAAGTCAAATCCCAATTGATTAGGCCCTAATTATCAAAGACACTTTCACCTTGTGAACTTCTCACAGTAACTGTCTTAAACCTGCTAACAGTACTCCCATGAGTGGAGAACACTGTGCTTCATTTTTAGTTTAATATGTTAGTTCTCTTCAATGAACATAGTTTTTTTTTTTACATTACAGTAATGAGGCACATGAAGGTTAGAATTTGTTTTTGTTTTTTTGTTTTGTTTTGTTTTTTGAGACAGAGTTTCACTCTTGTTGTCCAGGCTGGAGTGCAATGGCAAGATCTCGGCTCACTGCAACCTCCGCCTCCTGGGTTCAAGTGATTCTCCTGCCTCAGCCTCCCGGGTTCAAGTGATTCTCCTGCCTCAGCCTCCCAAGTAGCTACGATTACAGGCATGTGCCACCATGCCCGACTAATTTTGTATTTTTAGTAAAGATGAGGTTTCTCCATGTTGGTCAGGCTGGTCTCCAACTCCTGACCTCAGGTGATCCACCTGCCTCGGCCTCCCAAAGTGCTGGGATTACAGGCATGAGCCACCGCGCCCGGCCTATAAAATCATTTTTAATAAATAATATTAAATGCTATACAAATGAAGTTCTTCTAGTCTCTTGCCTACCACCTCAAAAGGAAATGATATCATTATAATAAACCTATTATAACATAAAAGCTAATGTTTTACCTGGAAATGTTCTATGAACTCTAAGGAAAAAAGTATACTGTAAAGATGGTCAATTCCCGCATTTCTTACCATTGCTAGAAGAGGATGACAAACAAGGAGAAGTAAGTAGAGGGAAAGAGAAAAACTGAATAAATCTCCTTCATCTCCAAATAAGGCAAGCTCATCAACCAGTATGCTCCTCTCTCTATCTCCCTCTCTTCACTGACTGCCCCAAGGTCCCAGACAATACAGAATCTATAAATTATATCTGTCCACTTTACCACTAATTAAGATATTACTATCAATTGTATTAATTGTAAAAATGCTTAGATTAGCTTATGGAATGTTGGCTTAAGTCATTAAATAACATTACAATGCTTTTATTATAGTTTTGATGGTTTGTAAATATTGTTTATACTCTAACCAAATTTAATCTGGTTCTAGATATTATTAGAATTTGATATCTCATTTAAGGGATATTATAGAAAAATCAGTCACAACATTGATAAAAACTTAAAACTCATTCATTGTCCATTGAAAGTCTTGATCAAATAAGACTTAGACAGATACACAGGTTCATTTTAGTTATACGTTAAAGGTAATTAAGAGGACTCTCCCATTTTCATTTTACTTTTGTTCAAGTTTACAATCAGAAAGTTATAGCATTTATGCACTTTCAAGTTTATATCATGAAGTTTATTCATTAGAAAAACTAATTCTAACCGTCTTCATGTGCCTCATTGCTACATGATATAAACTCATTACTCAGGTTCTAAAATAAACATTAGCTTAATTTTCCATTTTCATCTAAGATTATTATCAATGTTTTATTATTTTATAATGTGAACTTTATACTGACCAGTCATCAAGGCTGTGACAAGATCTTTCAAGTTCGTTTTCATATTTATTCAGTTTATGGAAAAATAAATTTTAAAAACCCAAGTTATAAAATACAACAAATACAGTGAGCATTTCGTAGTGATCTTTAAAAGTTTTTCTTTTATTCCAGTGCTTCGAGGAAGAAGTTATAGTATAACTATACAATCACTATAGAAGAAAAGGCAGAATAGCAAAGGCAAATTTGAACCACATTAACACTACCCTTATATTGGTATAATTTGTTAATTAAAAGAAGATTTATAAATTCAAAACGTATTTCTCCTTCACATTGTCATTTTCTGACCAAAAAAAAGACTACCACAAAGAGGTATTTTTTTAAAGTAGATGGGTAAGAAAATTTAAATGAAATTAGCCCTATAACTCTGCTTTCAGTAAGAGTACAAAAGTAACCCTTATATTGACAAATACGGCATAATTCCATAGGTCCCATTTGCTCTTCCTCCGTTAAAAGGAAAATGTGTAGTATCATATAAAGTTTATATGGGTTTTATGTTCAGAATATTGTAGAGATTAAGAAAAACCTTTGCCTGGTGGGAGGTAAGATTAACTTTATTGGTTTGATTTCCCATTATTCCAAATGGAAGACTGTTGGATGATGGGGGGTAGCTGGGGAAAGGAAAAAAATGCCAGGAGATTAGAATGTTGAAAGAAAGAGAAGTTGAGATTTGAAACTAATCCATTTTTTAAAAATCTTACAACCAAGCATGGTAGCTCACGCCTGTGGGAGGCCAAGGTGGGATGATCACTTGAGGTCAGGAGTTCAAGACCAGCCTGGGCAACATGGCAAGACCCTGTCTCTTTTAAACTTAGAAACAAACAAACAAACAAAAATCTTTTTAATAAAATAAAGGAGCCGGGTACAGTGACTCACGCCTGTAATCCCAGCATTTTAGGAGGCCAAGGTGTGAGGACCACTTGACCCCAGGAGTTCAAGACAAACCTGGGCAACATACCAAGGTCTCATCTCTACAAATATTAAAAAATAATTAGCCACGCATGGTGGCATGCACCCATAATCCCAGATACTCCAGAGGCTAAGGCGGGAGAATGGCTTGAACCAGGGAGTTCAAGGCTGCAGTGAGCCGTGATCACGCCACTACTGCACTCCAACCTGGGCAACATAGAGAGACAACCCCCAACCCCAATCTCAAAAAAAAAAAAAAAAAAATTAAAGAAAATAAAATGTTAAATCTACACATCCCCATATAATATTCTTCTGTTGGAGATTTTTTTACAGGTTCTTTAAAAATCAGTCGTAAATATCTTTTACTTTTAAATATGTTTAATTGTTTCACTATAACAAGCTGCAATGTAAAAACAATTCAAACTCCAAGAAAGAAACTCCATACTATACGGTAGTGAAATATGAGCCAGAGAATCAATAAGAGGATGCTACACTACTGTTGAAGACCAGAAGTTGATATCTCCTTTGAAAAGTATCAACAGAAGCAGCATTGATGCAGGGTACAAAAGTACTATAATAAAGCTGGCTGTGGTAGCACATGCCTATAGTCCCAGCTACTCAAGAGACTGAGGTAGGAGGATTGCTTGAGCCCAGGAGTTCAAGGCCAACCTGGACAAAACAGCAAGATCACATCTCTTTGGGGGAAAAAAAAAAAAAGGTACCATAATAGTAATACTTTTAGTTTCAGAGTTGTTTAAAAATCTTAATTTTATGTTTAGTAAAGTAACTTATTCAAGTTTTTTTAAATATTTACTCTTATGATTGTAAAACTTTCTTTTATATTTATCAATTTGCTATAATATGAAATGATGTATCCACCATTTAACTAAATCAAGAGATTTATTAAATGCAGTTTATCATAAATCAAAAATAACCATTAATGAAATGGAAGAATCTATTTACTTTATCAGCATTGAGATTCTATTTACATAATGAAGAGCTATGGATAATAAACAGCCCAAACACTATCTGCAAAAAAACCAATATTCCAATGATTTTAATATACATATAACTATCAGTTTCTAGGCTTGGATTTAAAGAATATGTGAATGGAAAGAAGTAAATTAACATACTAATTTATTACAGCTTAGAAACCTAAATGAAATGCCACAGGCCACAAAACAACTGCTTCGTATTCAAAGGCACACATTCAATTTGGTAGATCAGCTGGACGCACTGCATTATACTGCAGGAGATAAGGGTTAAGTGACCTGGGGATATTGTTCTCCAGATGTCTAAAAGGTCCATTTTTTTATTGGAATTATCTCTACTTTAAAAAAAAAAAAAAAAGGAATTATATCTACTTTTGATAAATACCTAGCTTACCACACAATTAATACCTTCGCCCATATAAGATTCTACTTGAAGCTTCGTTTTTGAAATTTTAGGATTGTAGCTATTATAAAAACAAAATTTAAGAACACACAACATGTACAATGGGTCAAGAATACATGCCTTAGATTCTGATGAACAGGACAAGAAGGTTAAGAAAATACTATAACATACTCTAAGTTTGGGGGTACATTTTAGAGATTTTTAAGTGAGAAATCCAATAAATCTTTAAGCATTTAGCTTTCCATTATTGCAGCGCATGAAAAGACTTTTTTAAACTAATTTGTAATACACAATATATTCACTCCACAAATAACTATGTACATATATATGCCCACATCAATTTCCTACTCTTTTAATTAAAAATTTATGTTTCTTTTGGTCATAAAAATCTGGTTTTGGGTGTTTTAAAAGTTCAAACAGCTATTAAGCTATACTTTGCTTTGGCACTAGCTCCCCCTCCAGACCAATGTACTAATATAACAGCATTTTTAAAAATAATAAGTTAACAGTTTTTTCCAATCCACTGGCAAATTTTAAGATTCACCACTTTTAAGGACACTCCAATTGCGTAAAAATAACTGGTAAGAATTTGCAACAAAACAATGCAGGATGTAATCAGAATTAGTTTTGTTTTGTTTTTTTCGATTCCATACATCTTAAACAGAACTGATTTGTAGGAAAACAACTTCAGGTGACTTTTTAAATTCAAAAATATCCTCAAAATATAACCTATATAAGGCCGTACTTTATGGAAATTATTTTGAATCACTATCCTATTACACAAGACACTCTTCAAGTTAACTCACAACTTGACCAAAGATACATTTTTGCATCTGTTTCTGCAATCTATGCAAGTTTCATTCCAGCTGTTCAGCTCTTGAATTCAAATAGAATTCTCAATTTATAAGGCAGCAAAAAGAAAATCCATGTCTTGGAACTACCTTTGTACGTGTCTTATAGCCTATTCATCTCTAACTCCCTGCATTTTTTACACACTAAACCTGTGAAATCACAATTACAAATGCTTGAATTCCCACCTTTTCAATACTACTGTAGTATTTACAAATCAAGTAATTAAGATTTTCTATACACATACCAGATTTCACAAGGACAGCAAGGTACAGGGCCTTATTATTTGGCATAGGGTTTTAAGATGTTTTTACAGTTATTTTAAAGAGCAGAGACTACAACTCCATTATTTCTCATATATCTGATATACTGTAGTGCTTAAATAATAATTTCTCTCCTAAAATACTTTCTATATGATGCACCTATTTAAAGAATTAGTCATAAAACATAGAATGTAAATTTAATCAAGAAAATAAACATGCACCTAACCGCCGGAATAACAAGAAAAAAAAAATCTATAATGAAACCTGCCTACAGTTTTCATAGAGGCAAGCCAGTTAAGTCAGTTACTTGAGATGCGTTTAACTCTAAACTGACACAAAACTTGTGTTGAATTTGTTCCGCAAAACCTTGAAATTTGGGGTTATGTACTACAGAATTTGGCTTTTCTGGGTCCACCTTCCTGAGTGGGTTTAAATAAACTGTGAATAATTAAAACATAGGAAGGAAAAAAACACCACCTGTCCGTGCCTTTAACCAAGGCCTCAATCTATATATTATATGGCAAAATGCTAAAATAAAAGCTCATCCGGGACAAACCCTAAGCATGACACTGCCACTTAAGAAATACACTGCGTCTCTGAAGATTGCAATCCCCACTGTGAAGAAAGAACAGGTGCTGCACCCGACAACCCACTCAATCCTGCAGGACAAACCTCCTAGAACTGATAAATATGGACTCATTTAACCTTCCCAAATAAGTTGATACTCAAAAGCCGCCAGCTCGTCATTTGCACATCAAAAGGGAGTACAGCTGCACTCAAGCCTTTAACTGCCCTGCATCAGTCCCTCGCGGATCTTTGTGAGGGTCCACTCCCTGCTTTCTAGCCCGAGCAGCACTCAGAAAGAGCCCATAACGCACGGGCATCTTCCTCCCCACAAACCGCGACTCCAGGGACCGAGCTGCTGACGAAGGGAAGGTAGGTGTGGAGGGGAAACGACGGACACCTCCCACCCCCGCCCCCAACCCTTCTCCTTCCCTAGGCTTTGGCCCCTGCCCTAGGCAAGGATGCGCGACGCCGAGGGCAGCAGCGGCGCAGCTCCGCGTCCCGGCTGGAGAGGCGGGCGCCCCTCACCCTCTGCCCGCGCCCCCGGGGCTGCGCCAAGGCATCCGCCAGAGCGTCCCGGGGGCTCCCTCCCCACTTTTCCGAGAGCCGCTGGTTAACCGGCAGCAGTTGCAGCAACAGGCCCGGGTGAACGAGCAGGGACAGCCGCGGAGCCTCCTCAGATCCCGCGCGCAGCCCAGCCCAAGACCCCGAGGCGCGCGGGGCCCGGCTCCCAAAACGCCCCCTTACCCCAGGCGGGAGCAGAGGCGGTCTCCGCCGCTCCCCGTCGCAGCTGCCAAAGCCACAGCCCTCAGCCGCAGCTGCCCCACGATGGGGGAGTGGGAAGGGTGGCTGAGTGGAGGATGCTACTCCCGACCGAACGGAGAGGAAGAAACGGAAACAGGAACCGCCGCCGCCGCTTAACGGAGCCTTCGGCGCCACTGACTGAGGCAGAGCGCGAGGCGGCGCGAGCCGGGCAGTCGCTGACAGCGCGAGACCGAGAGCGAGCTGGGTCCAGGGCGCGCGACCCTGAGCAGTGCCGGCCCCATTCCGCGGGGAGACGAAGGGACGGGTCGGCTGGGGCCAGGCGGCGGGGGTGGGATGGGGAGGGGGCCTGGAGAGGAGGGAACCGGCTGCTCGGGTCGGCCGGAGATAACGCGCGCACGCGCCGGAGCGGCTCTGACAACGAGCGCAGGCGGGGAAGCCTCGGCCAGCGCCGGCGTGCGCGCGCGAATGGGGGAGCGCGCCCCTCGGCGTTCCTGGCTTCTGGGAGAGGGCGCGCATGCGCCGGCCGCTGCCACCTACGGCGACCCTGGCATGTGCCAGGGATTCTCCCCGCCCCCTTCCTCGCTGCGCCGGTGGAGAGCGTAGCAGCAGCATCCACCGCCTAGCAGAGCCGCGGGCCACAGCGGGACGGCACAGTTCCAGCAGGGCAGCGGCTGCGCACGCCGGCTCCGGCTCGCACACAGGCGTAGGCCGCCCTCTACCGCCTGAAGGCCGGAGGCTGAGCGGGGCGCGAGCGGATCCTGGATCCCGGGAGGAGACTCGCCTCCAGAGAATGCTGTGCTCCCTACAGCGCCGGGAATGGACCGGCCCGTGCCAGCTCAGTCGGCGGCCCTAGGGGGCACCCGCACTAGAGGTTTTGAAGCTGGCTCCTTGCTACTTTTAGGGGTGCGCGCTGCTGCTGCTCAGCCCCTGCAGCCCGCATTTGGCCGCTTGACTGCTGCTTCCAGCGCGATCCTACAATGGCATCGCTCCCCCAGGAGACTCAGCGAAGCCCTACTTTATCTTGTAAGAGCTGTTTCCACATTCACTCGAAGAGAAAGACCCCCCCCACGAGGGCCTGAGTTCGATGCCCGGCCTCTCCCGACCCGCGGCTGCGACAGCCCCTCTGAGGCGGAAGTTTATTTAGTACGGGAAAGAGAACAGCACGGGGAGAGGGGAGAGGCTTTGCCCTAGGATGCGTCCTACCCGCTCGGACTCGGAAAATTCCCGGCGCCCGCGATGCAGAGCAGTGGACCGAAGGGCTGCCCCAGAGCAGCCCAGACCGCCAGCTGAGCGGGAGGACCGGAGCGCGCCGCCCCAGCACACAAAGTAGTCGCGGGACGAGGGGTGCCGCCGAGGCCAATCAGAGCTGCGCGCCGCGTGAGTGGAGTGCGAGCCGGCCAATCAGAGGGCCGGAAGATGAGCTTCCCGTTCCAAACTCTTCCCTGTAGCCTTGGGACCCAGATCCCAAGCCTGGGGCGCTTTACGGTGGGAGAGCGAAATGGTGCCCTTAAGACAAGAATCATTTCTCTAGGCTTGGGCATTTTAAAGTACATACCGGGGATACTTATCCCAAAGCAAGTAGCGGCGGCCTTTTAGATGTTAAATATTAAAAGATCACAGAAAGGAGATTTAAGAGGCAGTGGCCTGTCAAGGTTGCAATCTGCCTAATATTCATAAATTCACATATTTATTGAGACCTTCTTATGTACCAGGAACTCTATCACAGATACACAAATAAGGTACTGCTGATTCAAAAGAAAATCCCTTGTCCTCAAGCAGCTCAGGTTGTGAGGGAGGCTTTCCTAGACCTTGAGACTCGTATTTATTGTCAGCTCTTTAAACAAAAAGCACTCTATGAAGTGCTGTACTTTACAGTCGTTTTTATGATTATCTCCCTGTGAGAAAAGAAAATTGAAAGGAAAGTAGAGTGACTTGTCCAAGATCACACAGAAGATGTACTAGCAGAGCCAGAATTATGTTCTAGCTCAGTTTGGGTGTCATCATTCAATAAAATAATTCAATAACAATTTGTAAATGCATGGATGCTCTCTCCCATGAGATTTCTGTACTAAACGTATAAGCAGGACAAAATTCTGGTATAAAAGTGACACACTTTGGTTGTTGGAAATGAACACAAATTTTAGACTTATGTGGGATTAAAGGTAAAAATCTTACCAGTCATACTTTAGATAATTTTTAGAAGTCAGAGGTGGGGTGGATATTTACTTCTTAGTTTAAACACAGCATTTTAAAAATATTTTAACAAGCAAGCGTAACTTTTTTTTTTTAAGATAGAAGAAGCAGGAAGGATCACTTAAGCCCAAGAGTTCCAGGCTGCAGTGCCACATCGTGCCTGTCAGTAGCCACTTCAGCCTGGGCAACATAGCAAGACCCTCATGTCTAAAATTAAAAATAAAATTTAAAAAAAAGAACTACTTCTAGTTGGTTAATAATCATGATAGTTTACACTGTATAATACTTTGAGATACCCAAGTACAAAGCTTTACATTTGCCTAAAAATTCCATTTTTGTCTGGTGTTCCATTTTTACTTCCAAAATCCTAGGAATTAAAGCACTTATTTTCCCTACCTCCTTCCAACTGAAAAAAAAAAAAAAAAAAACCTGTCCTAGGAATGTTTTGCCCAGGATTTGGTGCATTTGTATAGAACAGTATAATATACGTTAAAATAACAAATAACTTTGGTATCTCTTGAATACACTCAGAAACTAATTCTTCAGTGGTTTTGAAGTCTGCTTTGTTGAATCAATGTGCTTCTCCACCTGTGATGGAACATTATTATCAAAACCCTTTCCAAGGCAGGCTCAGGATTTAGCTGCCATCCCAAAACTGGAGGTCTCTGTCAAACAACTGATATTTGAGAACAAGTCTTTACACATTAAGTTCCAAGCCAATCATGAATTTCCAGGAAATTCACTTATGAAAGGGAATTTTATACCCTGCCTCTTCTCAGTGTGGATAACAGTCCCAGCTTTTAAAAAATACATTTATTTTACTCTCTCCAGACAAGAAAATTCCTAGAACTCAGTCGTTCTCTTGCCAGGTTAAATTCTGAGAGAGAAGGAATCCCCCAAAAGGTTCTAAACATCACTGGCCATCAGAAAGTATCTGTGTCAAAAGCATTTTTCCACAAGCTGCAGGTCCCACCCTGTTGCTGCGCTCTCTCATTCTCTTCTCCCAACTGCTTGCCTCTGCTGCTCATCACTGCCAGTTTGTAATAGTTGCTTAAGTAAGTACAGGTACTCCACCTCTTACTCCACCCCTCCCTCACCAAACTAGGTTTTGGACCCATCTTTGCTTATCCCAAAAGTTAAAGACAAGTTCTGTTCAACAAAAGATTAGACAGAACAATCGTTATGATCTGTTATACAACAAGTAACAGGGCCTTGTCAGTGCATTGTTTTCTTGTATATAGCCTCGGTCAAATTCTTAACCATCAGCTAGAGCTATGGGGACTCGGGTGTCCCGGGGCAAGAAGGAGTCAACCCTTAGACTATGGAAAAGATCAAAATGAAAGTTAAAGTGAGTACATGAGTGGCCATTTTATTGAGAGATTAGCTAGATCAAAGTTAATGAACGTGAATGCTATCACATTTCCTAAGTTGTGAACATTCATGTAGAAACTGGTTTGAAATTTACTACCATTTTATTATGACTGTAATAAAAATAATAGCCAAAGTGTAATAGTGCTGAGCACCAGGCCTCATGCAAAACTCTTTACCTCCACCATTTAATTCTCAAATCAAACCTTTGAGGTGGATCCTGTTATTACGGTGGGGAGATCTGTGGAGTTCCAGCAAGGGGTTGAGGCACTCAGAAGGCTTAGCATAAGCTACTTACCAAATAGTTTAGAAATTTTTCTATCTCTACCAACGTGTACCAACTGACTGTCAGCCATGGAAGCATTCTGAATAATTGTTAATTGTTCTCGTTGTTTTATAATTGTTGCTCTAGCTACATTTCACTTACAGGATCCGATTTTCCAGGAAGTCATCCAAAGGGCAGCATTGTTATTGCCAAGAGCAAGAAGGGGTGACCTTGAGATAATCATTTTACCCATCTGGGCCTCAGTTTTCTCATTTGTAAAATAAAAGGGTTGGACTAGGTAAGTTTTAGTTGTTCGTCAGTTCTAAAACTATAAATCTAGCCAACTTGACACACCATTGACAATAACTACAAAAATGAAATATAGGGAAAAAAAGTCTATATTTTCATTTTTATTTTTTAGAGACAAGGTCGCAGAATGTTGCCAAGGCTCGTCTTGAACTCCTGGCCTCAAGCTGTACTCTTGCCTCAGCCTCCTGAGTAGCTAAGAATCTATATTTTCAAATTCAATGTGTTTTAAGTCACTTTTGAGCCAGCTCCTTAAACAAACTCTATACCTACTCATTAAAAAGCCAGAGCAAATCTTTCCCATTACAAGAGTAAATGAAGTGATTGATTTAAAGACTGATGAAACTAGCCAGACTATCCCTCCCTATGACTTGCCTCCATGGCTGAAATTTCTGTCTTCTCCACTGGGATAAAGCAGCATATAGTTCACACTATTGATTTCTAATTGAACATTCACTCCCGTCCTTCCTTATTAATAGGGCTGTTTATTTTTGTTTTCATCTGCCAATTCTTTAGGTAACCACCCAAAACTCCAACTACAGAAAGGCAACTCAATTAGCCAATAAATGGGTTCCCTAATATGGTAGGAGATTTATCATGCTTACTCTCTCTTTCCAGACATACAAAAAGATTATATTTTTCCACACCCACCCCCAGATACCCTCCTCCCCTTGCAGTTGGGCTGGACCATGTGACTGACTAGCTATAGCCACCAGTCTGTAGTGGGTTGTGGGCAGAAGTGGTATGTGTCAATTCCAGGTAGAACAGTTCATGGCCAGCGTAAGTCCTTACAGTGTTTACTCTTCTCCAGACTCAAGACCAGTATTATCTTGAAAGTATCGGTAAAGCCTCTCTCGGCTTAACTTCCAAAAAAAAGGACAAGGTAGAGCAGCCTGCCTCCCATTTTCATCTGGTTTTAATAAGAAATACACCTTTGTAGTTTAAGCCACTGAGATTTGGGGGCATTTTTCAATGCAGTATGACCTAGCATCTAGGTTATGCTAGACTAGAATATGCTAGAATTAGAATAGTCCTAGACTATTCTAATTGATACACTTGAAAACCATTAGGACCAGGATAAACTGGCCCAATCAGACTGAAGGAAAGGATTTTCAGTCCATATCTGGGGGAAGGAGTTCTCTCTTTCCTGCCAGATATGAGCAAGTCAACCTGTAACCCAGATTGCCATTGGCAGCAATCTTGCAAGAGGAACTAACCTGAAAATGAAGTCAACCTACTGGCGATGGCAGACAGATAGAAAACCCTTGCAGATTTGATTGAGCTGTGGTCATACCACTCCTGAAAACTATTCTTTCCTGGACTATTAATTCTACAAAATAATAATTATGTTTGTTTGTTCCCACCATAACACTGTAAGCAAAAACTCTATCTTGTATATCTTTAATTTCATCTCAGTTCCTAACACAGATATGTCTCAAGAAGCACTAAAACGTATTGGATATAGCCAGCAATTATGGCTCATACCTTCACCTCAACATTTTGGGAAGCCAAGGTGGGAGGATCACTTGAGGCCAGGAGTTCAAGACCAGGCTGGGCAACCATAGCAAGACCCCTGTCTCTATTTTTTTAAATATATTGGATACATTAAAAACATTTTAATGTAATAGATCATACTCTTGCCTTCAGAAAAAAAAGTATTATCTGTATTAACAAGGAGAGAGAGTAATTTGATTCAATCCAATCTTCTTACAGATGAAGAGATTAAAACCTTGTAAGACATTACAAGGTTTATCAAGCTCATATAGCTTTGGTATGGCAAAATTGAAGTAGGGAAATAGCTAATAATTTCTTCATCAAAATTGACCATAGTTTCCAACTTAGGATAGAGAAGTATTGAGCCAGTATATTACTCTCAGACTTACTAGCTTTTTTGTAACCACATCACACCAATCTGGTTCAACTTTTATGTAACAAAGTTGTGAGTTGTTTTTCAGTTACCAATGGCCCCCCAGTTTGAAGGTCACCTAACCTGAACATGCCCAGATGAACCGAGTCTGCAACTACAGCGGGAACCTAAGTGCTCTGACTGAGGAGTGAGGACTGAATTAAGAAGGGGACACCACATTGTAGGATCCAGGATCTAATCGTATCAAGCTTGGCATCACCCCATGGCAGGATCCAATCAAATCATACCTCCCAGCATCACCTCATTGCAAGATCCAATCAGATCACATCTCATGACTTTATGCTTATAAAACCTGGCCCAGGCCAGGCGCTGTGGCTCACACCTATAATCCCAGCACTTTGGGAGGCCGATGTGGGCAGATTACTTGAGGACAGGAGTTCAAGACCAGCCTGGCCAACATGGTGAAACTCTGTCTCTACTAAAAAAATACAAAAATTAGCTGGGCGTGGTAGTGGGCACCTTTAATCTCAGCTACTTGGAAGGCTCAGGCAGGAGAATCATTTGAACCCAGGAGAAGGAGGTTGCAGTGAGCCGAGATTATGCTACTGCACTCCAGCCTGGGCAACAGAGCAAGACTCCATCTCAGAAAGAAAGAGAGAAAGAGAGAGAGCGAGAGACGAAAAGAAAAGAAAAGAAAAAGAAAACAAGCCCTGCACAGGGAGACAGAGTTGAGCATATCTTCCTGTCTCCTTGCGGTTGACTTGCAATAAAGCTTTTATTTTCTCAAAAGCCAGTGCCATGGTATTGGCCATTGGCCTCTATGCACATTAAACAGTGCTCAGTTACAATCTGACCTTGGGCAAGTTACTTAACCTCTCTGAGCTCTGGTTTTTCCATCTATAAGAAGGGATGATGTCCCCTAGCTCATGGGGTTGTATAAAATAAATGACTCAACATACAAAAAGCACTTAGTACAATTCTTGACATATAGTAAATGTTGTATACATTGCAGCCCTATTAAATGATGTTTATTCATAGCTAAACCATTTTTATGCATTAGGATAGATCCTGTTCTCCTTTACCATTCATTTAATTCAGACCATCGACCTGTATTTTATCATCTCATATAATTTTAACGTATACCTATATTAGTGTGTGGCCAGCACCCACCTTTCCTATAGGAACTACTGCTCTCATGCCCACATTTTTATTATGATGGCAGCGAGAGCTGTGTGACCGCTGTCCATTGCCCACACCTAATTGGTCAAGAGGGGGACACCTGACCCAAGATGGGACAATGAACCCATTCCTCCAGAATGTTTATAGATGTGAGAAGAGAGATTATCTCAGGCCTCACCTAGATATAAAATCTGGGAGAAGTCATTAGTCATTTGCCAAGTGGAGAAACTCATTCTGCATTAGAGAATAAAGTCAGTGGAAAGAGGAAGCAGAGAAGACAGAAGTATCCTTATACTGGAATTCTCAGTTCCAGGTTTTGCTGACCAGTAGTTGAATTTCTGCCTTTTCTTCTGCTTAGGCTCCTCTGTTTCTAGGCTTTCCCTGTATCCTTCCAATATTGTTTCCATCTTGCCTAAGCTATTTCCAGGTAGGTTTATTGTAGATGCAATTAATGCAATAATATGCTCTATTATCATAAAGTAAAAAAAATAAGAAGAGGAAAAATTTTTAGATGTATTACTTTTCATTAATGACCTGGATGATACCACTAAGAATATGACCATCAAGTTTATGAAAGTGAATCAACAAATTTTTATAAGATACTAACTATATGTAAGCTCCCAGTAGAAGACACTTCAGATTTACCTTCCTATATCTTTTCTCATTTTTCCATAATCACAAATCCCCATTTCTGGATAGTCCTATTGGAACTCAACTAAAATCTTACTTTTCCTAGTCTCCCCTGCAATGGATGTGGCTGCATGACTAAATTCTGCCTATTGAGATCTAAGCAGAAATATTGTGCAGTGCTTACATTTTTTAAAAAAATCATGAAAATGAAGGAGATGCACCCTTCTTATCGCTTCTCTCCATCCTATTACCTGAGGCATGATGATGTGATGACTGGAGCCCTTTCAGCCATCTTGGACCATGAGGAGGATAGCTGTACCCTGGGAATAACATAATAGTGACTGGGAGGGAGCTGGCTCCTTGACAACTTTGTCAAGCCTCCACGCCAATCCTGGATTGCTCATTTCCAAAATTATTTTGTGTAAGCTGCTGTTTTATTTAAGCCACTATTATCTAGGTTTTACTGTTATATGCCACTAATTCTGATACTATTGATACAATAATACCATTGCAGTTTAATAAATTCTGATACTATTGATACAATACCATTGCAATTTAATAAACTATATTGAGTTAGGCTGGATCAATAAGGCTGTATAAAAAGGAGCAAGGCCGGCGCCGGGTGCAGCAGCTCACGCCTGTAATCCCAGCACTTGGGGAGGCTGAGGCAGGCAGATCACGAGGTCAAGAGATCGAGACCATCTTGACCAACATGGTGAAACCCCGTCTCTACTAAAATACAAAAAATTAGCTGGGTGTGGTGGCACATGCCTGTAATCCCAGCTACTTGGGAGGCTGAGGCAGGGGAATTGCTTGACCCGGGAGGCAGAGGTTGCAGTGAGCTGAGATTGCGCCACTGCACTCCAGCCTGGCGACAGAGCAAGACTCTGTCTCAAAAAGAAAAAAAAAAGAAACAACGCTGGGTGCAGTGGCTCACACCTGTAATCCCAGCACTTTGGGAGGCCGAGGTGGGTGAATCACAAGGTCAGGAGTTCGAGACCAGCCTGGCCAAGATGGCAAAACCCCATCTCTACTAAAAATACAAAAAAATTAGCTGGGCGCTATGGTGGGCGCCTGTAATCCCACCTACTCAGGAGGCTGAGACAGGAGAATCATTTGAACTCAGGAGGCAGAGGTTGCAGTGAGCCGAGATCACACCACTGCACTCCAGCCTGGACAACAGAGTGAGACTCTGTCTCAAAGAAAAACAAACAAACAAATCTGGCCCCGCACAGTGGCTCACACCTGTAATCCCAGCACTTTGGGAGGCTAAGGCGGGTGGATCACCTGAGGTCAGGAGTTCGAGACCAGCCTGACCAACATCGTGAAACCCTGTCTCTACTAGCGCCTGTAATCCCAGCTACTCAAGAGGTTGAGGCAGGAGAATCACTTGAACCCGGGAGGTGGAGGTTGCACTGAGCCGAGATCATGCCATTGCACTCCAGCCTGGGCAAGAAGAGCAAAACTCCATCTCAAAAAAAAAGAAAAGAAAAAGAAACAAATCTAGAAAGGCTCTTGAAAGAACTATTACAGAAACAAGTACATATTATTATATTTTAAAAATTAAAAATCCAAAAATAGACAATCTGGGGAAGGATGGGTAGGAGCAAGGTCATAAGGAAAAATTGCAGCCAAAAAAAAAAAAAAAAATTAACCACTATCAGTATGATATAAATACTTGCTCCAGCAAGAATAAACCTTGCTAAAGTCACTAAAGTTCCAATGTTCAGCTTTTCAGAGGCAAAAATTCTACCTTATATGTTAACCCAAGGGCAAATTAGAGTCTGATGGGAAAACACTAACTCTAACCAAACTGACAAAAGTCTGAAAAACCAGAGGCCCTCTTGAAAGCAGAGATCCTGCCTATCTGTCTTGATCCCCACCATGTAGCATATTTATTGAATGAGTTAATTAATTTTCATTGCAATATAACTGCCAACAGGATTGAGAAACATAACCTCTGGTTAGTCAGGATCTTCTAGTTTCCATGGGAACAAGGCCATATAAAATCATGGTTCAGAATGTTGATTCTAACTATATTTGAATCCTTGCTCACCAATTAATAGCTGTGAGACCTTGGGAAACTTTAAAACTCTCTGTCTCATTTTTTCATATCTGTAAAGTAGGAATAATAATAGTATCTACATCATAGGGTTGTTGTTAGTATTAAATAAGTTATTACATATAATACTCCTAAGAACAGAGCCTGACACTGAATAAGTACACCATAAATATTAGCCATTTATGGCTCTACAAAAATCCTAAACTAAAGCAAGCCTTTGCAGACCCTATAATTATCTGATCTAAATCCAAAATCAAGATAACATGAAAACAGAATCTAAGGAAGCAGAAGAAAGAAGTGATTGACAAGATTTCCTAGACCAAAGTCTGAATGTCATTTCAGTTCTGCAGTACATGCTATAACACAACTGTTGGTATTTAAAGCAAGGACTAAAGGTTCTAAAAACAACTCCCTATAAATTGTGCTGGTGTGATTTACAAGTAGACTTATAAACCTACATAGATAGAGGTCAAGTGGGGTTAACTTGTATTTATTTCAAGACTGATCATTTAGTTTAAAATATACTCCAGGCGGGCACAGTGGCTCACACCTAAAATCCCAGCACTTTAAGAGGCTGAGGCAGGAGATTGTTTGAGCCCAGGAGTTGGAGACCAGCATAGGCAACATGGCAAGAACCCCATCTCTACAATTTTTTTTGCTTTAGACGGAGTCTCACTCTGTCACCCAGGCTGGAGTGCAGTGGCGCGATCTCGGCTCACTGCAAGCCGCCTCCCTAGTTCATGCCATTCTCCTGCCTCAGCCTCCCAAGTAGCTGCGATTACAGGCGCCTGCCACCACGCCCAGCTAATTTTTTGTATTTTTAGTAGAGACGGGGTTTCACCGTGTTAGCCAAGATGGTCTCGATCTCCTGACCTTGTGATCCACCCGCCTCGGCCTCCCAAAGTGCTGGGATTACAGGTGTGAGCCACCACGCCCAGCCCCAGATTTTTTTTTTTTAATTAGCTGGGCATGATGGTGCATGCCTGTGGTCCTAGCTACTTTGTAGGCTGAGGTGGGAGGATAACTTGAGCCCAAGGTTGAGGCTGCAGAGAGCTGTGTTCATGCACAGCATTCCAGCCTGTGGGACAGAACAAGACCCATTCTCAAAAAAAAAAAAAAAAAAAAAAAAATCACACTCCATCTTTTGGGCTCCTACACTCACATATCAAAGGGCTGAGAAGACTATGCAACTTACTTGAGCTCTTTAAAGTGCAAGGACCCAGGAATCACTCAGTTTACTTCAAAGAAAGAGGGGCTTGTTTAAAAACACAAGAACTGAGACTTACCCCAGAGCTGAAACACTGTCGGATACTGAGGCACCTAAAAAGCTGCGCCTCCATGTCTCTCACGTTTCCGCATTCCCCATGGCATTCCTTTTCCTGCTCTTCTCTCACTACCAACTCAATCCCTTTTTTTTTTTTTTTTTTTTTTAGACAGGGTCTCACTCTGTCACCCAGGCTGGAGGGAGTGCAGTGGCACAATCTTGGCTCACTGCAACCTCTGTCTCCCGAGTTCAAGTGATTCTTATGCCTCAACCTCCCCAGTAGCTGGGATTACAGGTGTACACCACCACAAATTTTTTTGTATTTTTAGTAGAGATGGGGTTTCATCATGTTGGCCAGACTGGTCTCGAACTCCTGGCCTCAAGTGATCTGCCCACCTTGGCCTTCCAAAGTGTTGGGATTACAGGTGTGAGCCACCATGCCCAGCCTTTTTATTCTTTATTCTACCTTTTGGTTACTGCTCCCTTATAATTTTGGATCCCTTATAATTTCATCTTCCTTACGGCATAGATACTATCTTAACTTGCAAATTCTCAGTTTCCTATTACACATTCTCCAGAGAAGGAAGTCTTGTTAGGCCCGCATATCTCTTTCTTCCAAGCCATGTCATAGGTCTTCTGGCCTTGAATCAGGTGTTACTTTGGTCCAAACTACTTCAAGGTGGTGGTGGCTACCCCTTCAGCAAGGGCTATGGACATGGGTGTAGCAAACACAGGAACTGGCTGACATCTTTGGTACCCTGCTATACTTTTTTCCCTTGCTTTCTCCTTCAATTTTCTGCAATTCTCCTAATCTCTCCAATATTCACTCATAGATCTTACCATTCCCTCCTTCTATTCCCAGTACTTAGCAATTCAGTTCAGCGTCAGTCCTCATATTGGTTTTTGCAAATTCCCCCGTGTGTTGTTTCCAATAATTGTTGGATTTGGTTCTGTTTATGAAGTCAAGTGGGCTTTTGGAGCTCATCTTTACACCATGTAGCTTCTCACCAACTGACTCAGCCTCCCTTACATTGGTCTGGTAAAAGGTGGGCTCAGGAGAAGTTATGAGTTATATAAGTGCAACCCTCATGGCTTCTTTTAAAAATAGCAAAAAGGTGAAAGCGGTATGATAATGGTACAAAACTGTCTTCATATAAGAAAGACAGCCCTTTTTTTTTGAGACAGGGTCTCCCACTGTTGCCCAGGCTGGAGTGCAGTGGCACGATCCTGGCTCACTGCAGCCTCAACCTCCCAGGCTCAAGCAGTCCTCTCACCTGAGCCTTCCAAGTGGCTGGAACCACAGGTGCACACCACCAAGCCTGGCTAATTTTTAATTTTTTGTAGAGACAGCGTCTCTCTATGTTGCCCAGGCTGGTCTTGAACTCCTAGGCTCAAGCAATCCTCCCTCCCAAACCTCCCAAAGTGCTGGGATTATAGGTGTGAGCCACCACACCCAGCCTTAAGACAGCCATTTGGAAAGCTAATCTCCAGAGTAGGTTTATCAAAAGCTAATGCTATCATGTGTTGAAGTAAAGAGTTTATATAAATAATGGCAACAGAAGTCGTATACCCCTGAACCAACAGGGAAGACTAACAGGGAATTAACAGGGAAATATAGAGGAGTATATGGATATTTGATGGACACTAATGTCTCTGCCACTTGTGGTACATGACATACACACCCATATGAGGTATAGCTCTGGATAACAACTTAAGAAATATCAAGAATAATGGAATGGATGGCAGAAGGCAAATTTCAAAAATTTTGAAGAACTTGATGATTGGGTAAAAAAGTAACTAAAGATTAATGAGATTTGGGGCACGGTTGAATAGTTATTTGATACCATTGATATAGTTTATGGTTGACTGGATGCCACATGAAGGGTATGAAAACAAAAGAAAAAGAAAAATAGTTTATGCTTGTGATAACTGCATTTAGAATTCAGGTCTTCCAATCCTAAACCCAATGTTCTATTCACTCTTTCAGGTTCCATATTTCATGTACAAAATAGCAAAATATATTTTTAAAAATTCTGGAATCAGATGGGTTGACCATGATATCCCCAGTGTCTAGAACAGTGCTTGGCCTGTGGGAAATGTTCAATGAACAGTTATTGAATAAGTGGATGAGTGAATGAATGAATGAAGAAAGTAGATTTTATTACAACAGACTAAATGAAAGAAGTTTTGTCTTTACATGTTATTAGATCTTGCAAATGGTTTCCAATGAAGTTTTAATAGCTTTTAAAATAGCTGTTTTTAAAATATCATAGGAAACCTTATACAAGCTTATGTCCCCATTCCTAAATAATAGAAGAAATCTAATTAACTTTTTCCTTCCTTGGCCTTATTTTAAAGATGAAGAATATTCTTACCCTAATAAAATAATCCATGCAGTCCTTTTACCTTTAATATTCCATGTCCCTCTAACACAAAACTATGCGTGATTAACTTTCCTCTGCAACTTACAAGGAATGCATTTGCCAGCTCCTACCATGTAACTATGCCTGTGATGACCATATTTTTTTCACCAAATGGCAAGTGATCCAACAACTAAGTCTAATATTAAAAATCTGGATTTTCATGAAAGTCTAAGACCTATGAACATTCATGGCCTTGGATTTCAAGTGTCCTGGGCTGTTTGTCAGGGCTGATGTTCACCAACATGGCAAAATTCTCATTGGTCAGTGGTCTGTTTTGATTGTCTGAGCCTATGCAATACTATTCAAAAAATATCTTTTTTTTTTAGATGGAGTCTCGCTCTATCGCCCTAGCTGGAGTGCAGTGGCGCGATCGCGGCTCACTGCAACCTCCGCCTCTTGGGTTCAAGCGATTCTCCTGCCTTAGCCTCCTGAGTAGCTGGGATTACAGGCATGTGTCATCATGCCTGGCTAATTTTTGTATTTTTACTAGAGACGGGGTTTCACCACATTGGCCAGGCTGGTCTCAAACTCCTGACCTCGTGATCCACCCACTTTGGCCTCCCAAAATGCTGGGATTACAGGCGTGAGCCACCGTTCCCGGCTCAAAAAATGTCTTTATCCTCCATGAGCTTAACTTAGTAACAGAGAGGCTAACTGAAGCTATGATAAATAGGTTTGAACCCAGATAGTTTTGATTTTGTGGTGGGGAAATTTTTATCCTTCCTTGACTGTATCCCAATCACAGCTTACCACTTTGCTCACCAAAAGAACTGGGATAAATTCTACATTCATCACAGTAAATCTAGAACTCTAGTGTCACATGCAGATGAAACAAGAACATTTTTACACGTAGATGCCAACTTGGATGTTTTGTTTGTTTCTTTGTTTTTGTTTCTTTGTTTTTTTTTTTTGAGATGGAGTCTGCTCTGTCACCCAGGCTGGAGTGCAGTGATGCGATCTCAGCTTACTGCAAGCTCCTGGGTTCAAGCAATTCTCCTGCCTCAGCTTCCCAAGTAGCTGGGACTATAGGCACACATCACCACACCCAGCTAATTTTTTTGTATTTTTAGTAAAGATGGGGTTTTGCCATGTTGGCCAGAATCGTCTTGATCTCTTGACCTTGTGATCCACCCGCCTCGGCCTCCCAAAGTGCTGGGATTACAGGCATGGGCCACCATGCCTGGCCCTAAAAAAATTTTTTTTAATAGGCAGAGTGTTGGCAGTGTCTTGGTCTTCTAATAAATAAATAAATAAGTAATTTTTTTAATAAGCAGAGTGTTGGTACTGTCTTGGTCTTCTAATAAACAAATAAACAAATACATAAAATTAGCAGGGTGTGGTGACACACACCACTTGGGAGGCTGAGACAGGAAGCTCACCTAACCCCAGAGGTCAAGGCTGCAGTGAGCTATGATTGTGCCACTATACTCCAGCCTGGACAACAGAATGAGACCCTGTCTCAAAATAAATAAATAAATATAATGTCTGGAGGTCCTTCTGTATTTGTGACTCAATTTTCCATATGTACAGTTCTAGAAAAACTAAATTGCTAGACATGGATGCTCATTAAATCTCTACAGTGATGTGTATAAGAGAAAGGATATTACACTTTTATTACAGTCAAAATGAAAATTGAATAAACAGCAGCAAGTCCTTACTTAAGGCATCAATAGGCTTTTGGGAACTGCAACTTTAAGCAAAATGCCATATAAGGAAACCAATTGTACCACAGGCTAATTGATATAAACAAGAGTTAAGTTCCTATGGCCTATTTCTGGTCACGAAAAATCACCAAACTTCTAAATAAAGACCAAAACACTTCTAATATTTAACACTGAAATAAATGTGAGCTATACATACATTTAAGAAGAATTAATAAAAACAAGGAAGATAATTATTTACCCATTTATTCCAGTTCAGGATCACAGGTGGCTGGAGCCTGTCCCAGCAGCTCAGGGGTCAAGGCAGGACCCAGCCCTGAACAGTATGCTGTCCCATCACAGGGCAGGCGTGCACGTGTGCACACACACACGCACAGACACACTCAGACTGGAACAGTGTAGACATGGCAATCCACCTAATGTGCACATCTTTGGGATATAGGTGGAAACCAGAGTACCCAGAGAAAACCCACACTGACATGGGGAAAATATGCAAACTCTGCAGACAGTGGCCCCTGGTTGTGTTGGAAAATTTTTTTCTCATCATCATTATAATGAAATGAGATTGAACCACATGACATTATTCAAGGACCTGCTGTACACCAGATTTCCCCTAATATTCTTATAATCCTCTCAAACTACTAGAATCATCCTCTAGTGCTTTCTAGCCATAGAACATTACAAGTTACTGTGCTCCTTTATATTTCCAAGCCACCATGGTAGTCAAGTTCACACCACACTCTAGCCAATAAAATGTGGGCAGAAGTGATGTGAGTCACTTCCAAGCCTGGTCTTAAGTGCCCCTTCAAGAACTTCCAGCTCTTTCTTCCTCTGCCTTGGTGATCTTAGACGCTACATATTCCAATCATCCCACTATAAGATAGAGGTGGCCTAGATCCCTAATTATCCACTATGAGGAGAGCAACCCTATAGGCATTGGACTGTGACATGAGCAAGAAATAAATCTTAGCCAGGCCTGGTGGCATGGGCCTGTAGTACCAGCTACTCAGGAGGCTGAGGTGGGAGGATCATTTGAGTCAAAGAGTTCAAGGCTGCAGTGAGCTATGATCACGCCTATAAACAGCCACTGCACTCCAGCCTGGGCAAACTAGCAAGACTCCATCTCTTAAAATAACTCAAACTAAAACTAAATAAATATTTATTGCATTAAGCCACTAATGTTAATTAATATTAGAGGATAATGGGGAACTAAAATCCAGCCCCTGATTTAGTCACCAAACCACGTGTCTTGGCATAGTCTTGCCAAACTGAGTGCCCTAGGCTGCATCCTCCCAGCCATTTCTAATTTACACACAGATGCTGATATAGTCTGGCTGTGTCCCAACCCAAATCTCATCTTGAACTGTAGCTCCCATAATTCCCATGTGTTGTGGGAAGGACCATTGTGAGATAATTGAATCATGAAGGTGGTTTCCCCTGTACTGTTCTTGTGGTAGTGAAGAAGTCTCATGAGATCTGATGGTTTTATAAGGGGAAACCCCGTTTTGTTTGGCTCTCATTCTGTCTTGCCTGCTTCCATATAAGACATGCCTTTCACCTTCTGCCATGATTGTGAGGCCTCCCCAGCCACATGGACCTGTGAGTCCATTAAACCTCTTTGTCTTTATAAATTACCCAGTCTCAGGTATGTCTTTGTTAACAGGATGAGAACAGACTAATACAGTAAGTTGGTACCAAGAGTGGGGTGCGGCTATAAAGATAACTGAAAATGTGGAAGTGACTTTGGAACTGGGTAACAGGCAGAGGTTGGAACAGTTTGGAGGGCTCAGAAGAAGACGAAAATGTGGGAAAGTCTGGAACTTCCTAGAGACTTGTTGAATGTCTGTGACCAAAATGCTGATAGTGATGTGGATAATGAAATCCAGGCTGAGGTGGTCTCAGATGGAGATGAGGAACTTGTGGGGACTGAAGTAAAGATGACTCTTGCTGGGTTTTGGCAAAGATATGGATGACATTTTGCCCCTGCCCTAGAGACTTGTGGAACTTTGAACTTGAGGAAGATGATTTAGGGTACTTGGCAGAAGAAATTTCTAAGCAGCAAAGCATTCAAGAGATACTTTGGTGATGTTAAAAGCATCCAGTTTTAAAAGGGAAACAGAGCATAAAAGTTCGGAAAATTTGCAGCCTGACAATGTGATAGAAAAGAAAAACCCATTTTCTGGGGAGAAATTCAAGCTGGCTGCAGAAATTTGCATAAGTAACCAGGAGCCAAATGTTAATGCCTCCAGGGCATGTCAGAGCCATCTGTGGCAGCCCCTCCCATCACAGGCCCAGAGGCCTAGGAGGGAAAAATGGTTTCATGGCCTGGACCCAGGGACCCCTTGCTGTGTGCAGCCTAGGAACTTGGTGTCCTGCATCCCAGCCACTCTAGCTATGGTTAAAAGGGGACAAGGTATGGCTCGGGCCATGGCTTCAGAGGGTGCAAGCCCCAACCCTTGGCAGCTTCCACATTGTATTGAGCCTGCAGATACACAGAAATCAAGAATTGAGGTTTGGGAACTTCCACCTAGATTTTAGAGGATGTATGGAAGTGTGTGGATGTCCAGGCAGAAGTTTGCTGCAGGGGAGGGGCCCACATGGAGAACCTCTGCTAGGGCAGTGCAGAAGGGAAATGTGGGGTTGAAGCCCCCACACAGAGTTCCAACTGGGGCACTGCCTAGTGGAGCTGTGACAAGAGGGCCACTATCCTCCAGATCCCAGAACGGTAGATCCAGCAACAGCTTGTACCATGTGCCTGGAAAAGCCACAGACACTCAATACCAGCCTATGAAAGCAGCTAGGAGGGAGGCTGTACCATGCAAAGCCATAGAGGCAGAGCTGCCCAAGACCGTGGGAGCCTACCTCTTGCATCAGCATGACCTGGATGTGAGATATGGAGTCAAAGGAGATCATTTTGAAGCCTTAAGGTTTGACTGTAGCTGGGCGTGGTGGCTCACGCCTGTAATCCCAGCACTCTGGGAGGCTGAGGCAGGTGGATCATGAGGTCAGGCATTCAAGGCCAGCCTGGACAAAATACTGAAACCCCATCTCTACTAAAAATACAAAAATTAGTCTGGCATAGTGGCACATGCCTGTAGTCCGCTACTCAGGAGGCTGAGGCAGAAGAATCGCTTGAACCTGGGAGGCAGAGGTTGTGGTGAGCTAAGATCATGCCGCTGCACTCTGGGCAACAGAGCAAGACTCCGTCTCAAAAAAAAAAAAAAAAAAGATTTGACTGCCCTGCTGGATTTTGGACTTGCATGGGGCCTTTAGCCCCTTTGTTTTGGCCAATTTTTCCCATTTGGAATGGGTGTAGTTATCCAATGCCTGTAACTTATTGTATCTAGGAAGTAACTAACTTGCTTCTGATTTTATAGGCTCATAGGTGGAAGGGACTTGCCTTGTCTCAAATGAGACTTTGAACTGTAAACTTTTGAGTTAATGCTGAAATGAGTTAAGACTTTGGGGGACTGTTGGGAAGGCATGATTGGTTTTGAAATAGGAGGACATGAGATTTGGAAGGAGCCAGGGGCAGAATGATTGGGTTTGGCTGTGCCCCCACCCAAATCTCATCTTGAATTGTAGCTCCCATAATTCCCATGTGTTGTGAGAGGGACCTGGTGAGAGATAATTGAATCATAGTGGTGGTTTCCCCCATACTATTCTCATGGTAGTGAATAAGTCTCATGAGATCTGATGGTTTTATAAGGGGAAACCCCAGGCCAGGCACAGTGGCTCATGCCTGTAATCCCAGCACTTTGGGAGGCCAAGGTGGGCAGATCACCTGAGGCTGGGAGTTCAATACTAGCCTGACCAACATAGAGAAACCTTGTCTCTACTAAAAATACAAAAAAATTAGCCAGGCATGGTGGTGCATGCGTGTAATCCCAGCTACGTGGGAGGCTGAGGCAGGAGAATCACTTGAACCCAGGAGGTGGAGGTTTTGGTTATCCAAGATTGCGCCATTGCACTTCAGCCTGGACAACAAGAGCAAAACTCCGTCTAAAATAATAATAATAATGATAAGGGGAAACCCCCTTTCACTTGGCTCTCACTCTGTCTTGCCTGCTGCCATGTAAGACATGCCTTTTGCCTTCTGCCATGATTGTAAGGCCTCCCCAGCCACATGGAACTGTGAGTCCATTAAATCTCTCTTTCTTTATAAATTATCTAGTCTCAGGTATGTCTTTATTAGCAGTGTGAGAACAGACTAATACAGATGCCACACGGACTAGAAGTAGCCCTGACTAGTCCCCCTCCCACATGATCACTCTGTCTCCACTGATATTTCCCCTTTATAATCCCACTATAAAGAGATGCCAGATTCTAAAGCAAGCTCTGCTAAGGCCATTTCCTGCTCAGAAACCCTGAGAAAGGCTCCGTGGCTTCATGGATTAACACTCAAATCTTTAACATGGTCTCCAAAATCCTCCACAATTCATTGAAAAAAATCCACCTATGCAGCCCACTCACTATCTTTGTCTTCTCATACCTGTGTTCTCCAGCTCTGGAATCTAGCTGGCATGAGGCGAAGAGCTCCCTCAGCCTGACTCCACATAGCAGATGCACCCCATCTCACATCCTCCTAGTCTACAGAATCTCTATCAATCACTTACTCCACAATTTCCACAGCACAGAATCTCTTTGGGTCCTTCTGCTTTCTTGGGCCACCCTTCCCTTTAGTATTGGCATTAAAGGGCTAAATTTCCATCCTATATATTATAAAGCCACCTCCATCTAGGTTATCTGGGGGCAAAATGGAGGCATGTCTCACAGTTGTTTCTCAGTTAGTTCACTTACACCTGTTCTTCCACCCTGGCTCTGCAGCATAGCAAGAACTCTCAGCTGTGTTCTCACCCCTAGTCGCATCCTACTTGTGTGGAGGGTGTCAGTAGCACCCACCTTATCACAAAGGAACCAAAAGGCAAGGAAAGACAGCAACAATACATCCACTCCTAGTCTGTAGCCGCTAACATTGCCAGATAAAATACAGATGCTCATTAAATTTGACTTTCAAATAAACAGCGAATCATTTTTCAGTACGCCCCAGGTATCGCCTGGGACATACTTATGCTAAAAAATCATTTGTTGTTTTCTAAAACTCAGATTTAACTGGGTGTTCTGCATTTTTATTGGCTAAATCTGGCAACACTAACAGTGGGCCCCTTTTTGTTAAATTCTTAATCTTTTGCTCAGATTAGAGGAAGAAGCAGGACGCTTCCAGCCAATGCGTAATCCACCAAAAACACTGCCATTTTAAGTAACATTTTTCTCCTTGAACAGTAATGTTTTCGCTCCTATTATTCATGTATTATAGTGATTTCTACACAATAATAAGCCTCTCATGTGACAAAACAAACTTCATGAAGTCAGGAATCTTATTCTTCGTATTCTTTCATTGGCTGGCTGGATCTTGGAGGCATTTTTCATGAACTGACTACCTACTTGCTGCACTGGTATTTCAGGAAGTCAAAACCGGCAACAGCACCAGAAATTTTAAAGCAGATAAGAGTCAAAAGAAAATACCTTGGGCATAGCAATTTTCTGACTTGCATAATGAGCCACGGATTTTATAATTGTGGCCTTGCACATATGTTTCCAAATATTTCTCCATATCTTCCAGGGAATACTTAGCTGGGTTTTACCTGAGGGGTATCAGACACTCAAAGGAACACAGGTTATGTCTAGAAGTCCTTCTTTTAAGTTAGCTTGCCAGAGGAGTAATTCTGCCCTCTAACAAAAAAGTTAGCCGGGCGCGGTGGCTCATGCCTGTAATCCCAGCACTTTGGGAGGCCGAGGCAGGCGGATCACCTGAGGTCGGGAGTTTGAGACCAGCCTGACCAACATTGAGAAACCCCAACTCTGCTAAAAATACAAAATTAGTCAGGCGTGGTGGCACATGCCTGTAATCCCAGCTACTTGGAAGGCTGAGGCCAGAGAATCACTTGAACATGGGAGGTGGAGGTTGCAGTGAGCTGAGATCGTACCATTGCACTCCAGCCTGGCCAACAAGAGCAAAACTCCATCTCAAAACAAAACAAAACAAAACACTTAGCTGGCCAGACACAGTGTCTCACACCTGTAATTCCAGCACTTTGGGAGGCTGAGGCGGGTGGATCACTTGAGGTCAGGAGTTCGAGACCAGCCTGACCAACATGGTGAAACCCCATCTCTACTAAAAATACAAAATTAGCCAGGTACAGTGGCTCATGCCTGTAATCCCAGCACTTTGGGAGGCTGAGGCGGGTGGATCACTTGAGGTCAGGAGTTCGAGACCAGCCTGACCAACATGGTGAAACCCCATCTCTACTAAAAATACAAAATTAGCCAGGTACAGTGGCTCATGCCTGTAATCCCAGCACTTTGGGAAGCCAAGGCGGGTGGATCACGAGGTCAGGAGTTCGAGACCAGCTTGGCCAATATGGTGAAACCCCGTCTCTCCTAAAAACACAAAAAATAGCTGAGTTTGGTGGCATTTGCCTGTAGTCCCTGCTACTCTTGAGGCTGAGGCAGGAGAATCGCTTGAACCTGGGGGGCAGAGGTTTCAGTGACCCAAGATCACACCATTGCACTGCAGCCTGGGCAACAAGAGTGAAATTCCGTCTCAAAAAAAACAAAAAAGTTAGCATCTCCACTGGGTGGGTGTAATTTTATTCTCTTTCAAACAGCTACATCATCTGTAGAATATGAAAGTAGCAAACTGGCCAAAAGTTAACATCTTGTAAATCACACAGCCTCACTGTCCAGCTCTCATACCCTGTGATTTCTTGGTAGCCCCTCTGGAAGCCAGAAATATGGGGGGTTAGATTATAAAGATTAATTAAATAGTATAAAAATGTACACAGGACCATAGGATACAAATGGTCTTGTTCTTTCCCTCATGTTCCAGATGCCAGTAGGTATCAGTAGGTATCACTAGCATGATAATTATTTCCACAAAGAATAGGAAATTAGGCCGGGCGCAGTGGCTCATGCCTGTAACCCCAGCACTTTGGGAGGCCAAGGCAGGCCGATCAAGAGGTCAGGAGATCGAGACCATCCTGGCTAACACGGTGAAACCCTGTCTCTACTAAAAATACAAAAAATTAGCCAGGTGCTAATGTGGCGTGTGCCTGTAGTCCCAGCTACTCAAGAGGCTGAGGCAGGAGAATCGTTTGAACCCAGAAGGCGGAGGTTGCTGTGAGCCGAGATGGCGCCACTGCACTCCAGCCAGGGTGACATAGCGAGACTCCATCTCAAAAAAAAAAAAAAAAGAATAGGAAATTAATCGTAGACTTGGTGGTGTCCTGTACTTTCCTGGGGTGATAGTAGTAAAAGTGGGTGTGGTTTGCCTCCTTTAAATACATCATCTAGTCTAGAGATGTGGAAATTTCCTCAAACTGATATGTAGTAATATAATAACCCTTTTAGAAAACCTGAATTACTTCATTGAAAAAAGTCAATTTATGTATATCTAGTAGCTGCATTTTTTGAAAACTAGACAACATGCACATGATAAAAAATTCAAAAGTTATGTAAAAAGGCATAAAAGGAAAAGTGAACCTCTCTTCTACACTATCCCCTAGTCCCCCTTCCCTGAAGCACCAGTGTCACCAATTTGTTTATCCTTCTAGATGTATTATCTTACTTACAAGCATGTATTTTTTTTTTTTTTTTTGAGACGAAGTCTCGCTTTGTCGCCAGGCTGGAGTGCAGTGGCACAATCTCAGCTCAATGCAACCTCCACCACCCGGGTTCAAGCCATTACAAGTGCAAGCCACTGTACCTGACATACTGTATATATACATATATATATAAATATTATTTTTTATTTTTATTTTTTATTTTCTTTTTGAGACAGGGTCTCATTCTGTCACCCAGGCTGAAGTGCAGTGGTGTGTGTGATCGTGGCTTCCTGCAGCCTAAACCTCCCTGGGCTCAAGCGATCCTCCCACCTCAGCCTCCCAAGTAGCTGGGATTACAAGCGTGTACCAACAGGCCCAGCTAATTTTTGTATTTTTAGTAGAGACGGGGTTTCACCATGTTGGCCAGGATGGTCTCGATCTCCTGACCTCATGATCCGCCCACCTCAGCCTCCCAATTGTACTTATATATTGCCTTTAAACATATTTTTATATATAGTATGTATATACTATTATGCATGTTTCTTTTTCCTTTTTAAATCTTTTTTATTATAAAATTATTATATAAATTAAAGAGAACAAAACTGTATACAGTATGCCATGGCTGGGCATGGTAGCTCACACCTGTAATCCCGGCACTTTGGAAGGCTGAGGTGGGCAGATCACATGAGCTCAGGATTTCGAGACAAGCCTAGGCAATAAGGCAAAAACCCCACCTCTACTAAAAATATAAAAATTAGCCAGGGCTGGGCACAGTGGCTCAAGCCTGTCATCCTAGCACTTTGGGAGGCTGAGGTAGGTGGATCAGTTGAGGTCAGGGGTTCAAGACCAGCCTGGCCAATATGGTGAAACCCCATCTCTACTAAAAATACGAAAAATTAGCCGGGCTTGTTGGCAAGTGCCTGTAATCCCAGCTACTTGGGAGGCTGAGGCACTCCAGCTTGGGCAACTGAGTGAGACTCTGACTCAAAAAAAAAAAAATATCAGGGTGTGGTGGCACACTCTTGTGGTCCCAGCTACTTGGGAGGCTGAGGTGGGAGGATCGCTTGAGCCCAGGGAAGTTTAGGCTGCAGGAAGCCACGATCACACACACCACTGCACTTCAGCCTGGGTGACAGAATGAGACCTTGTCTCAAAAAGAAAATAAAAAATAAAAATAAAAAATAATTTTTTTATATATATATGTATATATATAGTATGTCAGGTACAGTGGCTTGCACCTGTAATCCCAGCACTTTGGGAGACCAAGGCAGGAGGATCACTTAAGTCCAAGGCTACAGTGAGCTAGGATCATGCCACTGCACTCCAGCCTGGGTGACAGAGTAAGCCCCTGTCTCAAATATATAAATATGTATGTATTCATTTATATATGCATATATACATTTATATTTTAACATATTCATTTATATATATAAAATGTAGTGATCTTGTTTTTATATTTTAAAAAATTTCACAATTTTTCTTTGAAACTATTCCATATTAACGCATACCACTCAGCTGCACTGTGTTTGCTGCACAATATTCCATTATGTGGATGTACCACTAGCAAATCTGATATTGATGGATTATTTTTTATTTTTTATTTTTTATTTTTGGAGATGGAATCTCACTCTGTCACCCAGGCTGGAGTGCAGTGGCGCGATCTCAGCTCCCTGCAACCTCCGCCTCCTGGGTTCAAGCAATTCTCCTGCCTCAGCCTCCTGAGTAGCTGGGATTACAGGTGCACACCATCACGCCCGGCTAATTTTTTGTATTTTAGCAGAGACGGGGTTTCACTATGTTGCCCAGGCTAGTCTTGAACTCCTGAGCTCAGGCAATCTGCCCGCCTTGGCCTGCCAAAGCGCTAGGATTACAGGCGTGAGCCACCATGCCCGGCCGATATTGATAAATTTTTACTTTTGCTATAGTGGAAGCTTTTTCAATTAGTTTTCCTTATTAGGTAAATGGATCCATGTGCCACTAAGATAGTCAACAGATATGCACTGAACACTTACTACATATCTAATACAGTTTGCTTAGGCCCAATAATGCAACAAAGAATATTCCTATATATTTCCTCATCTTCAGATTATTTGGTCATTTTTCATGTGTGTACTGTAGGATTGGTATTGTCCATTTCAAGTTTTTAACTAAAGACTCCTTCTTTATCTATTAAAACACAAATCTTCCCTCCTAAATTTGCTCGACTATGGCAAAATGGGAGTTCCATACTGCTGAAACTTTATCACTTTGGGAAGATACAACAGTTTCTCTATAAAGATACTCCTGTGCTTACTTATAAAATCACAGAATTTAAGAGGCAGAGAAGAACTTTATAATATATAGACCAACCTCTTCATCTTATAAATAAGACAGTAAGGCTAAGAAGAAGATAAATAACTGGGCCATGATCATACTCTGGCTTCTTTTTCTGACACAAAATTGGTTAAACATACCTCCTCATCCCCTATTTAAAAACCAAAAGTGCGACTTCTACTTGTGGTCATGATGGAATAACATGGGCCTGATTTACTGTGTACCTTAAGCAACTGAAAATGAGATAAAATATACAAAACAGTTTTCAGATGTTGGACAACATGCAACATGAGACAATGATCTTTGAAAGAAGAAAAACAAATCAGGTGAACCTATAATTGCCCCAGCTCACTGCCTGGAAAGATTCCAGGCTACAGCACAGGCAAGAGAAACCCCAACAAAGCCTGGCAGATATTCTGAATTGAACAGATGAAGTTGAGAATTCAGAGAGGCGGAGTCCTGAATTTACAGGCACTCAACAACTGTTGATAACTGTGCCTGTTACCATTTTGAATTCGTAGGGTAGATTACCAGATAGGAGACAGCTGCACAAAAAGAGCTAGTTCTAGAGTTGTGCAGGGGCTTCCTCTTGAGTCTTCAGCTGCGTATCTGTCAGCACACATGTGTGAGGAAACTACCTTTGACCAGGGAAAGAGACACCTGAATGGAGCGGTTACTGGCAATCACGCAGGAATGGAAATAGCTCACATTCCCCGAATGGAAAAACTTGGCGATATGTGGAGCATCAGGTTGAGGATTCAGAAAGGTGAGGCCAAATTAGCCTTAGACTAAAAGTTGCTCTGCACTTGCCTATCAAAGTTTACATGCAAGCCTCAGAAGGCTCAAACTGTTTCCAAGTCACTTAAATTTAAGTGTCAAAATACTTAAAGGATATTTAAATATTTAACTCAAAAATATTTAGCCGGGCATGGTGGCTCATGTCTGTGATCCCAGCACTTTGGAAGGCCAAGGCAGGCGGATCACCTTAGGTCAGAAGTTCAAGACCAGCCTGACCAACATGGTGAAACCCTGTCTCTACTAAAAATACAAAAATTAGCCGGGCGTGATGGTAGGCGCCTGTAATCCCAGCTACTGGGGAGGCTGAGGTGGGAGAATCACTTGAACCCAGGAGGCAGAGGTTGCAGTAAGCTGAGATCGCACCACTGCACTCCAGCCTGGGCAACAGAGTGAGACTCTGTCTCAAAAAAAAAAAAAAAAAAAAAATTAAAGGAAGACAAACACAAATAAACAAAAATTCAGCATCCAACAATGTGAAATTCACAATACGGAATACAAGAAAAAATTACCAGGCATATAAAGAATCAGAAAAATATAATCCATAATGAGGAAAAAAATAAATTAATCAATAGAAACATATCCAGATATGATACAGGTAATAAATAAAATTGGTAGACAAAGACATTGAAACAGCAATCATAACTATGTTCCATATGTTCCAGAAAGTAGAGGAAGGCATGAGCATGTTAAGAAAAGATATTAAAAAACGAAGACCCAAGTTGAACTTCCCTTTCTTTTTTTTTTTTTTTTTTTTTTTTTTGAGACGAGGTCTCACTCTGTGGCCCAGGCTGGAGGGTAGTGGCGCAATCGCAGCTAACTGCAGCCTCTGCCTCCCTGGGCTCAGAGATGCTCCCACCTCAGCCTCCCAAGTAGCTAAAACTATAGGCGCACACCACCATGCCCAGCTAATTTTTTTGCAGAAACAGAGTTTCACCATGTTTCCCAGGCTGGTCTCAAATGCCTATGCTCAAGCCATCCACCTGGGCTGGAGTGCAATGGCACCATCTCGACTCACTGCAAGTTCCACTTCCTGGGTTCAAGAAATTCTCCTGCCATAGCCTCCTGAGTAGCTGGGACTACAGGCATGCACCACTGAACTTCTTTTTTTTTTTTAGATGGAGTCTTACTCTGTCACCCAGGCTGGAGTGCAAGGGCGCAGTCTCTGCTCACTGCAACCTCCGCCTCCTGGGCTCAAGCGATTCTCCCACCTCAGCCTCCCAAGTAGCTGGGATTACAGGCACATGCCACCACGCCCAGCTAATTTTTGTATTTTTAGTAGAGACGGGGTTTCACCACGTTGGCCAGGCTGGTCTCAAACTCCTGACCTCAGGTGATCTACCCGCCTCGGCCTCCCAAAGTGCTGGGATTACAGGCATGAGCCACCATGGCTGGACTGAACTTCTTAAAATGCGAAATATAATAGGCTGGGTGCCGTGGCTCACGCCTGTAATCCTAGCACTTTGGGAGACTGAGGTGAGTGGATTGCTTGAGCCCAGGAGTTTGAGACCAGCCTGGGCAACATGGCAAGACACTGTCTCTACAAAAAAGACAAAGAAAAATACAATAGTTGCCGTGAAAACTCATAATTGCTAAGACAATTATAACTTCTGCCATTATTTTATCATTTTCAATATGACAAATGTAAAAATAATATTTTCATTGGGCCTGAAAACAGCCATTTTCATATAAAAAATCTAAAAGCCACAATCAAATGTGAGTCAAAACCATTAATGTACAATAGTGTTTGCATAGTAAAAATATGTTGTCTGCATTTGGTGTTGGTATTTATAAAGAATAGGAGCATCTCACAGCCTTTTCTATATGCAAAACATGTTAAGCCAAGCATAACTTCTATTCAGAAGAGTTCAGAGTTTAAGGGAGAATAAAAATTGGTTTACTGTGACTTCATTTTTAAGCATAGTGCATACAAAAATTAAAGAAAAGTTTTTTTATATGCAACACTTCGGATATGGAAAAAGCTAGTGATTTTTAGACCCTTGCCAGGATCAGTGAGGGCTTATTCCCAACAAACTGTTAAGGAGCTACAGTTAAGAATCTAACCTAAGGCCGGGCGCGGTGGCTCATGCCTGTAATCTCAGCACTTTGGGAGACCGAGGCAGGTGCATCACCTGAGGTCAGGAGTTCGAGACCAGCCCGACCAACATAAAGAAATCCCGTCTCTACTAAAAATACATAAAAAAAAAATTAGCCAGGCATGGTGGCACATGCCTGTAATCCCAGCTACTCGGGAGGTTGAGGCAGGAGAATTGCTTGAACCCGGGCAGTGGAGGTTGCGGTGAGCTGAGATCATGCCATTGCACTCCAGCCTGGGCAACAAGAGCGAAACTCTGTCTCAAAAAAAAAAAAAGTATCTAACCTAAGAAATGTAGGTAAAGAGAAGGGAAAAGTCCAGCAAGAAGTGGAATTAGAACCAAGAAACAAACTCATATGAAAATTAGAAATATTTTAAAATGTGAGGACAATGGTTTACAAGTATATACAAATCTTCCCGACAGAGGCTGAGAAGGTGATAACATGAAAATGCATTTAAATGCACCCAACAGTTGAGTGCCTGTTACCTGCAAGACACTGAACCAAATGAAGCACTATCCCTTTCATTCAAAATCACAAAATATTATACAAGAGATGGATGCAGATCTCATAAATAATTGTATCATAAATCTGACTGATAGCTTCAATAATGAAGGCATTACAACAGCTAAAGTAACATAGAGAATTGAAATAACTGGATCTTGGGGTGACAAAAATGGTGGAAGACTTTACATAAAAGGTGACATTTGAACTGTGTCCTAGAAGAGAAAAAGAATTTTACTATATACAAAAGAATTTTAGTCAGGCATGGTGGTGCATGCCTGTAGTCCCACTGCTTGGGAGGCTGAAGCAGGAGGATCACTTGAGCCCAGGAGATGGAGGCTGTTGTGAGCTATGATCACACCACTGCACTCCACCCTGGGTGACAGAGCAAGACCCTATCTCAAAATTAATAAATTTCCTTTAATTTTAAGAAGAGAATTTTGTAGTTATTATCCATTTAATTTCTCCACCATTAATTGCACCACCATCTATTCCCCACCTCTCACTGCCCTGCTTCCTAACTAGTATCCTGCCTTAACTGACTATCCTTGGTGGTTCATTGGCTTCTGGTTGAGTTTGGCCAGTGAAAGACACTGGCTGGAGATCAGAGGGCAGGAGGACAGAGAAGTTGGGATATTTCTTCACTGTGCCCATTCTGCTTCCACACTGTGATTCTTGCAGTGGCTGCCACCCTCTCTGCCTGCATTTCCTACTGATGGCCCCTTTCCCATGGCTCCAACTTGCACTGAGCTATGATGGCAGTGTTTCATCCCATGGGACCTTTGGGCCTAGGGAAGATAAGAGGTTCCCACTTTGCTAGTCTTTGGTTATCTCAACCACTCTTGTGATTTCCCTTTACCCTGACTGTATCTCTGTAAATTATCCCTTCATTTGAACCATCTGAGTTGAAACCAGTCCTAATCAAAGAGAATAGTATACGCAAAGACAAGAAGGAACTCATGATTGGGGAAACACAACTGCAATTTAGGTAACATCATGGAGATGGGAATCTAGGAATGGTTTTAGAGAATTGGGGCCAGATAATGAGGGCCTTACTATGGAATCTGTATTTTATTCTTGGGTAAAAGAAATCCAATGGGGCCAGGCACAGTGGCTCACGCCTGTAATCCCAGCACTTTGGGAGGCCAAGGCAGGCGGATCACAAGGTCAGGAGTTCACCAGCCTGGCCAACATGGTGAAACCCCGTCTCTACTAAAAATATAAAAATTAGCTGAGTGTGGTGGCACATGCCTGTAGTTCCAGCCACGTGAGAGGCTGAGGCAGGAGAATCGCTTGAACCTCGGAGGCGGCGATTGCGGTGAGCCAAGATCATGCCACTGCACTCCAGCCTGGGCAACAGAGCAAGACTTTGTTTCAAAAAAAAAAAAAAAAAAAAAAAAAAAGAAAAGAAAAAGAAAAAAGAATCCAATGGTGGTTATTGAGTACGTATCAACAGAACTGTGTTCCAGAAAGATCTCTCTACTAGCATGTGAAAGATGGAATGAATAGGAAAGAGCCTGAAGGCAGGGAGGCCAGGTAAGAAGTGATTGCAATAAGATTCTAAAATGGGGCGTTGGTTGGTGGTAGGGAGAATGGATTTCAAAAGGGTCTGCAGTAAAATCTATAGGATATGGCAACTAAGTAAGAGAAAGGGCAAAGCAGAAGGGATTTTTAAAGATGACTTCCAGGTCTCCAGCTTGGCAGCATGAGAAAATGGTGACCCTATAACACAGAAGAAGTTCTTAGAATTGGGGCAAAAAAAAAAGATTTGGGGCATAATGAATTTGATCTGGACCACATAGAAAGTGAGATACTACAGAGCATTTAGACTGAGATGCTCAGCAAAGAGCTAGACAATAGAGTCTATGTATCAGGAATGAGGCAAGAACTAAGGACAAAAGCAGCTATTCTAGAGCTGTGGTTCTCATTCCTAGCTGCACTGAGAAGTGTTATAAAAAAGAGATGTCAGGGCCCAACCCCAGATCAATTAAACAGAATTTCTGGGTGAAGCTAGAAATCAGATGTAACTGGCCGAGCACGGTGACTCACTCCTGTAATCCCAGCACTTTGGGAGGTCCAGGCGGGCAGATCACCCAAGGTCAGGAGTTCAAGACCAGCCTGGCCAAGGTGGTGAAATCCCAACTTTACTAAAAACATTTTAAAAAATTAGCGAGGCCTGGTGGTGTGTGCCTATAGTCCCAGCTACTCGGAGGCTGAGGCATGAGAATCACTTGAACTCGGGAGGCGAAGGTTTCAGTGAGCCGAGATCACGCCACTGCACTCCAGCCTGGGTGATAGAGCGAGACTCTGTCTCAAAAATAAAGAAAAATCAGTAGATATTTACCCAAATTTAATGGGATTTCATCTGGGTTTTCAAAGAGCTCCCTAGATAATTCTTAGAGGCATCCAGATTGAGAAGCACTAATCCAGAGCAAAACAGAAGCAGCTAAGGGTGGACATTTGAGAACACAAACATTTAAGGTACTGACAGAGAGGTGATAAAGAGCACAGATGCTAAAGAACAGCAGATAAAAGCAGCAAAGAGAATTTCATCAAAGGAGTGGACAAGCACATCACATGCCACGGAGAGGTGAAAGAAGAATGGGAAGAAGCCTCTAGCTTTGGTAAATAGAAGGTCATTACAGATCTCTGGGAACACAGTTTTAGTACTTGCAGAAGCCAAGTTGCAATAGGCAAGGGGTAGATTTTAGATGAGGACCTGGAGGGAGAGAGTGTAGACTACTCTTTCAAGAAGTTTCGTGCAATAGGTAGGAGAAAACAGCCAGTAACTTACAATTAAAAAGGTGGAGAGAAAGTGTTGCTGGATTTTAATTTAGAGCATATGAGTTGACTATGGGTAAGGAGATAAAGAAGAGAGAACGAAGATACACAGTAGAGAAGAAGTTATTGGAAGAACATGGCCCTGGAGCAGCCTGGGGTGGGTGGCATCAAAATTATCAGTGTAGTAGTCAGCCTGGGAAAGGAATACCAAAAAGATAAGCTTTAAGTTGAGGAAAGTTGAGTGAGCTCAAGCCATTATTTTCATTATGAGATGGAAGGTATGAATGACTGCTGAGAGCAAAGAAGGTAGAAGGCAAAGGGTCAAGAGGCCCGGAATAGTTACTGACGCTTTCCATGTGCCAGGCACCATACTGAAATTTTACCACATTACCTCATTCAGTAATTAAATGTGCTTTTCAAGGACAAATGTTGTCAGATGGAATAAGAAGCAAAAATTAGGACCACTTTGTCCACTTTCAGCCATCTAGTCACCTTGCTCCTCTGGTACCATTACTAATTAATGGCCCTTTAAAGCCTGGCCTGCAATTTGTTTTAAGTTAAATGCTCATTTCTAGCTGAATAGGAAAACATTTCAGTTATGATAATATTCCTTTAGTTTAGTTTAAAGGAAAGAGCTGTAGAAGATCATTTAAGAAAGAGAAAAAGCCTATTATTGAGAACACTCCATTAGTGAGAGCAAAGGGAGATGGGGCTTCAAAAAGATAGTGTTAAATGGTCCAAGTTAACGGCAATCAATAAATATTTAGGAAGTGGATTTAACCTGCATATTTTTAAGTTCTTCTTTCAAATGTAAAAAAATATAACTTTAGATTCCAAATCTATCAAGGGCTAGGACTGTGCCACCTCTTTCTACAATGCCTAGGCAATTGTGGAGGCTCAGTGGATGGCAGCTGAGGTTGAGCCATCCTGCACTGCCTGACCCTCCTATTATTATCTTTGCCATGTGGTACAGGCAACCAGACCAGCAAGCTAGAAGACTTCTAATTTTCCAGATGGTAAATGGGAACCTCTAAATGGGAAACTTGTGACATTGACTGTCCCTTTCTCTGCGAAACACTTTCCAAAATTGGGATCAATACATTCAGAAGTAGCTGCCAAGGATTTCCTTCATTGACATCCAAGTGAACCAAGTTGAGATTGGGGGTAGCTGCAAGAAAAGGCAAGAAACATGACCAGCCTGCCTGAAAGAGCCTTGGAGGACCCCAGAGGGATGACCCTTCAAGTGGGAGTAAAGTTGGGGATGAGGTTGCAGAAGGCTGGGAGAGGTTGGGATAAAATCAGGGTAGCATCCCTACTTGGCTCTCCACAGCGTGAATATTGAACCACTAGAAATTGTTTCCAAAGCTGCTGTTGGACCCCTTGCCACAGGCTGCTGAACCATGCCTCTAAAATACTACATTATTCTATCCCTATCCATTTATTATTTTTGTCTAACCTTCTACTATGGTTTTAATGTGTGATACAGTTTGGCTGTGTCCCCACCCAAATCTCAACTTGAATTGTATCTCCCAGAATTCCCATGTGTTGTGGGAGGGACCCGGGGGGAGGTAATTGAATCATGGGGGCTTGTCTTTCCCATGCTATTCTAGTAATAGTGAATAAGTCTCATGAGATCTGATGGGTTTCTGCTTTTGCTCCTTCCTCATTTTTCTCTTGCCACTGCCATGTAAGAAGTGCCTTTCACCTCCTGCCATGATTCTGAGGCCTCCCCAGCCATGTAGAAATGTAAGTCCAATTAAACCTCTTTTTCTTCCCAGTCTCGTGTATGTCTTTATCAGCAGCGCAAAAATGGACTACTACAATGTGTCTCCTCCAAAATTCCTGTTAAAACTTAATCCCTATTGTGCTGGTATTAAGAGGTGGGGCCTTTGGGGAAGTGATTCAGTCACGAGGGCAGAGCCCTCCTGAATAGATTAGTGCCTTATAAAAGGGCTAGGGAACTAGCTAAGGCCCTTTTTGCCCTTTTGCCTTCTTCCAGGTGAGGACCCAGTGTTCGCCCCTCCTGCCATGTGAGGATGCCCAGCAAGATGGCCCTCACCAGGTATCAAATGCCAGAACCTTGATCTTGGACTTCCCAGCCCCTACAACTATGAGAAATAAATTTCGATTGTTTATACATTACTCAGTCCATGGTATCCTGTTATAGCAGCACAAACGGAGTAAGACACTCACTTACAAAAAACAGACTCAAAATAATCAGGCCCCCTTTTCTTGAACCCAGAACGGCATGCAGTGCTGTGGAGACTGGATCCTGGTTTGCATCACTCACCCACTACAATTTCAGCTCCAAGCACATAAAGTAATTAGTACTCACTTTTTTTTTTTGTTTTTTGTTTTGAGACAGAGTCTCCCTCTGTTGCCCAGGCTGGAGTGCAGTGGCGCCATCTCGGCTCATTGCAACCTCCGCCTCCCAGGATCAAGCGATTCTCCTGCCTCAGCCTCCTGAGTAGCTGGGACCACGGTGTGCACCACCATGCCCAGCTAGTTTTTTCTATTTTTAGTAGAGACAGGGTTTCACCATGTTGGCCAGGCTGGTCTCAAACTCCTGACCTCAAGTGATCTGCTCGCCTCAGCCCCCCAAAGTGCTGGGATTACAGGCATGAGCCACCACACCTGGCCACTCACTAGATATTTATTGAATGTTTGAACCTTGCTTATATGATGCTGCTTTCTTGTGTTTCTGCATGTTATTTTTATTTGTTTAAAAAGCTTCTTGTGTTGGCCGAGAGAGGTGGCTCACGCATGTAATTCCAGCACTCTGGGAGGCCGAGGCAGGCAGATCACCTGAGGTTAGGAGTTCGAGACCAGCCTGACCAATATGATGAAATCCCATCTCTACTAAAAATACAAAAATTAGCCAGGCATGGTGGAATGTGCCTGTAATCCCAGCTACTAGGGAGGCTGAGACAGGAGAATCGCTTGAACCCAGGAGGCGGAGGTTGCAGTGAGCTGAGATCATGCCACTGCACTCCAGCCTGGGCAATAAGAGTGAAACTCCATCTCAAAAAAAAAAAAAAAAAAAAAAAAAACCTTCTTGTGAAATTTTTTTAGAAGTATTACTATATTTTTCATAATTCTTTACATGGAAGAGTCAAAGAAAATTTTGATGCTGTAAGGGTCACTATGTAGACAAACAGATGTTTGGCTAATCTTCTAGTAGACTTATTTCACCTATAGTCCTGGAAGTATTCTAACATCGGAAAATGAGGGAGTATTAATGTGAAACTTTAAAGTGGAACAGACAGGGCTTTCTGTCTGTTTCCAAAATAAATAGCTTTCAGGTGAAATTATTATGGCTGGAAGACTTTATGGGTGACATCACCTGACATTTACTTAAGGTGTTTTTTTAGGGGAGCCTCTATTTCTCTCCTAGAGTCTTGTTCTTCCCTCTTACTTACATCCTGGGCAGGTAGATACAAAACAAACATTTTCATTTCATCTCCACTCCAAAAATCCAAAATAACGACAAGATCAGCAATAGAACCCACACATTTGGCTTTATTGTAGATTCCATCCTACTTAACCTTTTTACCCACTGGCCCTCTGCTCCTGGTGCCTCGGGTTAAAGAAGATTTGCTTGAAACAAACATCAGCTGTCTCTCAACCTCTTTCTTAGCAGCTCACCTTCATCATCATACCCACTTGGTAGGGTGACTCCTAAACTATAATAACAAGAATAGTAAAGTTAATTTTATATAGACTCTTTCATACAGCTGGCTCCATTACAACATGTTTGCCAAGTTAAGAGTTGTAGAATTACAGTGCAGCACTACTGAGTTAAATAATAAGTAACAGCTGATACTAATAATAGCTTAATTTATGGTCTGGTAGAACTGTCACAACTGAGGCAGCTCTCCCTCTGCCCCTCATCTCTTCTCTGTCTTTTCCTTCTCCCTCCTTTGGAAACAGCCACCAAGTGAAGTGCTGAGATTGTCATATGACTCACCATAAATTCAAGTCACTTATTCTTATAACCTGTAGCTTTATAACCGTATTATATCAAAAATTTCCAACTTCTTTGAAGTTGCATCACCCTATCATTGTTTAATTTCACAACTGGTTCTCCTGATGTCATGTGCTCGGTGGGAGGGGCATACCAGGCTAGATTCAAACCTCTTGAGAGTTTGCAACATCCTCAGAAAGATTCTTGCTTTTTACAAGATCGAGGTTGACAATTACTACTCTGCACAGTAACACTGTAAAGAGGATCCTCCTTTCTACTTAAACCAAGGAATTAGAAAGCAAACAAATCAGCAAGGCCATACCGGGATCACATAGCAGAAATTGGGAATGACTATTTTTCCAATGTCTGTGGATGGTGACTTTCCATGAACACTCTGGTCTCACTATAATTGGAAAGAATTCCAAAATATTATTACATAAACCTGATTTTAAAACCCATGCAGCTTTGATTTAACACAGAATGCCCATTTTATCACATTTGGGTTTTTTTAAATTTTTTTTATTTTTACCACCAGGCAAGAATATCACATTTGTTAATCACTTATCTCCCCATTTACTGACCTTAGTCTCTAAGTCCTGGAGCAGAATATGGACTTTTCCTACAATCAAATAACCTGGTGACCAAACTCTCCAGTTCCATCAAAGCTGCACCCTTTGTAAAATATACTCTAGGGAGCTAGAGGGAGTTTGGACCTAGAAGCTTTTCATATTGTCTGCTGCAGCATGTAGGATAATTGTCAGGGTGTCCTCTATGCTCTGATAAAACTGCCAACTTATCTGAATGAAATGTATCTCAATAACACTCCATGCTGGGGAGGGGGCCTGAGCAGGAAGCAGCAGTAACATTTTATGCACCTTTTATTATTGCATAAAAGTGATTAACTGACAATTTATTACTAGGTTAAGACATCAAAACAATTAAAATGAACATAAAAATCTAACATTGCCAGGCTCTTCCGGGCTACCTGAGAGTAACTGACACATCCATCCTTTTCTATCCCTCACGTGAAACTCTTCATAGGAACTCACCTTGCTCTCCAAGACCTCCCTACCTAGAGGTGACAGAAGAGCCCAGGTCTGAGTCCCATCAAACATGGAGTTGTTTTTTGTCAGGGGAAGAGATCTCTTAGTTTTCTTGAAGATGAACTTGTCTGCTATGAAAGAAAAAAAATCAGTGCTTTTAATAACTGTGAGCAGGGCACAGCGGCTCATGCCTGTAATCCCAGCACTTTGGGAGGCCAAGGCGGGTGGATCACTTGAGGTCAGGAGTTCAAGACCAGCCTGACCAACATGGTGAAACCCCATCTCTACTAAAAAATACAAAAACTAGCCAGGCATGGTGGTGGGCGCCTATAATCCCAGCTACTTGGGAGGCTGAGGCAAGAGAATCACTTGAAACCAGGAGGTGGAGGTTGCAGTGAACCAAGGTCACACCACCGCACTCCAGCCTGTGTGACAGGAAGAGACTCTGTCTCAAAAACAAAAACAAAAACAATCTGTGGATGAAACGAGAGATTTTCATTTCTTGCTTCTACCACCACCACATGTTCTTCTTGATTTTGTTTGGCTGATACTAAAATCAGGTTCACAATATTGTATTTGCTCCATCTCTCTCCACCAAAACAGAAGCCTTTCTGCCAACTGTCTTCCTAGTCTCACTGCCCTGTAATATTTGCTAGAATAATAATCATGGAAAACCATACTTGACAAATAGAAATTTTCTTCTGCGGAAAGTTCTTTGGTTTTACTCTATGCTTTCCAGAATACACACCTTTTCTTATTATTTTATTTATTTTATTATTTTTTTTTTTTTGAGACAGGGTCTCACTCTGACACCCAGGCTGGAGTGCAGTGGCATGATCTTGGCTTGCTGCAACCTCCACCTCCCTGGATCAAGCGATTCTCCGGCCTCAGCTTCCTGAGTAGCTGGGATTACAGGCATGCGCCACCATGCCCAGTTAGTTTTTGTGTTTTTTGTAGAGACGGAGTTTCACCATGTTGGTCAGGCTGGTCTTGAACTCCTGGCCTCAAGTGATCTGCCCGCCTTGGCCTCCCAAAGTGCTGGGATTACAGGCATGAGCCACTGCACCCAGCCACAGAATACAAACCTTTTAGATTCTGAATTCAAAATATTCCTCTCTAAGAGGCAATGTCTGACAAACATCAGTTTGAATACCAGTGACACTACTTACTTGCTACAAGGCTCTCTGAGCCTATTTCATCCGTAAAATGGGGCCAAGTCAAGTGAGAGCTATTAGTACTCCCGCCCTATTCTTTTCATTTTAGACAGGGTCTTGCTCTGTCACCCAGGCTGGAGTGCAGAGGCACGACCGTGGCTCACTGCAGCCTCAACATTCTGGGCTCAAGTGATCCTCCCACCCTAGCCTCCCAAGTAGCTGGAACCACAGGCACGCACCACCACAACCAGCTAATTTTAAAACTTTTTTTGTAGAGATGGGGTCTTGCTGTGTTACCCAGCCTGATCTCAAACTCCTGGCTCAAACAATCCTCCCTCCTCAGCCTTCCAAAGTGCTAGGATCACAGGTGTGAGCCACCCCACCTGGTCCTCCCACCCTATTCTTGCTATTTATGTCCATGTCTTAACTATGGTGATCAGCCTGAATTTCATTGCCTACAATATTTGCCACGTGTGGCAACTAGTTTAATTACGATGATATGAGTTGGCAGAAAATAATTTTTTGGAAGTAATCAGATATCTGAAATTTCCTGGGCTCATCTTAAAGGGTGTATTGAGGAACTAAACAAAGACAAGGGTTCTCAGACTTCATATACCCTTAGGATTTCTCACCTTCCACTTAAGAAATGACCACCCCACCCCTGTGTTTATTTATTAGTGACTCAAGAACTTTTATAAGCCAATTACAATGAACAAACAGCTCTTATTGTAAGGCAATAAACAACAGTAAACCCTGACCTTATCTAAATTCATTGCTCTAAGCCACAGACCTGCAGGGAATAGTTACATTTACAACTCACCCTTGGTAAGCCAGTGTGGTGGCTCACACCTGTAATCCCAGCACTTTGGGAGGCAGAAGCCAGTGGATCACGAGGTCAGGAGTTCGAGACCAGCCTGGCCAATATGGTGAAATCCCACGTCAACTAAAAATACAAAAAAAAAAAATTAGCCAGGCGTGGTGGCACACACTTGTAGTCCCAGCTACTTGGGAGGCTGAGGCAGAAGAATCACTTGAACCCAGGAGGCAGAGGTTGCAGTGAGCCAAAATTGTACCACTGCACTCCAGCCTGGGTGACAGAGAAAGACTCCATCAAAAAAAAAAAAACAAAAAAAACAACTCACCGTTGGTTAGGATTGAAGATTTATAGGCACACTAGTCCAGCTGTCTTTGGGGAACTTGAGGAACCAATAGTGCCAAAATACCAAGTATGGAAAGCCAAAGAACTCATATCAGTCAGAGTTACCTTTGGTCTTTCATGGTGTGGGCAGGGGCAGGGGAAGTGGAGGTATAGAGGAAAGAGAGAATCAGAGAAAAATCCATGTTTATCCAAACCCCTTTTTCCCAGGACATTTGAGTATGTAGTACATTATAGACAATTTCTCCTCCAGGTATATAAACCAATAAAATAAATGGAAAATCATTATTGTCCAGTGAAACATGGCAGACTGTACACTCACATTTATCTCTATTCTCACAAAAACAAACTCAGCAAAGAAATTTTTAAATGACATAAACACACAAAGACAAACAGAGCATTAGACAAAGACACAGTAAATGAGAGAAATAAACAATATTAAGAGAAAGCTGAAACCTAAACCTACAGGAAAAACAGATCAACGAGTCTGAGAATCCCAGAAAGACTCAGCCTTTGGGGGCAACTGGTTCCTCCGAAGGTGGGAGTGCTGGGCAGGCCTGAAAACAGGAGGACTGGTTGAAACTTCGTATAAAAACCAAGTTAGATCTCTTCCGGTTCTTCTCCTCTTAACCCTCCTTGCCAGGCAGCTGTCCGTGCCCCACTCCTGCAGGATTCTGCCTGGGAGAGGGAGATCTGGCACAGCTGGAAGAAAGACGGACGGATGGTGGCACTGAAGACCATCTCTACACTGTTTCCCTCCTACAACTGGCTTTTGGCGCATTAGCAGCTAGGCTTGTAGCACCCAGGGGCGAATGGAAGAATTTTTCTCTGAGAAAACTGATAAACCTATGAAAAATTGGGATCCCATACAATTGAAATGGGAGAGTTCCCTGACCCACCGTGGTACGTGCAACAGGGGTGTGGCTCATTATTTTGCCGCTGCACGCTGGAACTCCTTACGGGAGGGGAAGCACACAGGTGAGCAGATGCAGGAGCCGGGGCGAGCACTTTTGGGCTCTGGCGCCACAGCAGTGTCTAGTGGTGTTACAACGCTCTTTTAGCCCTGCCGTTCCCCTGGAGTTTGGTCTTTCTGCATCCTATCTCCTCTCTGACTGCCCCAGCCGAACTCCTCTCAACATTCAGACGCTTCCTTTCTTCTCTCCATCTCTGCCGTGCCACTCTGCTGCTCTGTCACTCTGCCACTCTTCTGCTTGTGGAGCCTGGGGTTTGGGGTTTATATGGCCACAGGATAGGGGGACATGACAGGCCAAAAGGCAACATTTGGGTGCAAAAACAGGAATGCCTGTTGTCATTTACGGCTGCAGGTCCAAGCTTGAGGGTGGAGCCCTCGCCAGGGACTCCACCCTCCTGCATCCTGTCCATATCACAATCGCCCTGAAGGAAGTCAACAGTTGACTAAGATCCCAGGTAGAATGGCCAGATAAATTCAGATTTCAGATAAACAATGAATAATTTCTTATTATTATGATGTTCATAGTAATATTTGGGACACACTTATATTTTTAAATTATTTATTACTTATCTGAAATTCAAATTTAATTGGGCAGCCTATATTTTATCTGGCATCTCTACTCCCTACCCCGAATTCTGTTCTAGTTGGCTCCTTAGTGCCTCATTCTCATACAGGAATAGAAAGCTAGGAACACACCAGGTATGTGAGGAAAGCCTCCAACCGGAAAGAGAGACCAAAAGCAAGTAAGAGTACAAAGGAACTCAGGAGAAATGAACAATGAAGGAAGCAGAAGAGGCTAAACAAACTGAAAGTATTATCAGAGAGATAAGAGAAAAATTGCTCCATGAAACAGGAACAGCATTCTACTAAAGAAAGAAGGAGGCCGGGCACAGTGGCTCATGCCTGTAATCCCAGCACTTTGGAAGGCCGAGGTGGGCGGATTGCCCCAGCTCAGGAGTTCGAAACCAGCCTGGGCAACATGGTGAAACCCCGTCTCTACTAAAAATGCAAAAAATTAGCCGGGCATGGTGGTGGGCGCCTGTAATCCCAGCTACTCGGGAGGCTGAGGCAGGAGAATCACTTGAACCCGGGAGGCAGAGGTTGCAGTGAGCCAAGATCGCGCCACTGCACTCCAGCTCGGGTGACAGAGCAAAACTCTGTCCCAAAAGAAAAAAAAAAAAGAAGGAAGGGAAAGAGGTTAGTTATGAAACTAAGATAGTTTGAAAATATAGAAATCATTTTTTCAATTATCTCAGTTACAGAAATCCGTTTTCTCAGTTTTCTTAAAAATTTACTAGAAGCGTTGGAAGATACATAGAGGAGTCCTGGTCTGAGATGTTGAAGGCCAAGGTGGATGAGGATCTCCATGTGGGGAATGCCCCAGCACAAGGCATCAGAGGTCAAAGGGGGAGAGAAAAGAATTTGTGTAGGGGAGGAGGTGGCATTGGGAACAGGAGCTTGGTTACACATGGGGGATTGATCAAATATGTAAATAAATTACAGATAACAAGGGTCAGTTTTCTACTGCCAGAGAAGGGAGGTACAAATACAGAAAGAGAGAAAATGAAGATGTGCTCTGTGATACTGAATTAGAATTGGAGGTATCACTATGAACTCATGGTTTCCAATACAGAAGAAATAAATAGAAAACTAGAGATGTAAATGTATGTGTTTGTATATATATATACATACATTCCTTAGCTCTGCTCACTGAGCAGCCCTGGGCAACAGTGATGCCTCAATAGTAACAAGCACATCTAGCACCCAGATCTCGGCTTCTAAACTTAATTGTTCACTAGGGCTCTTCGGAGAAATGGCTGACTCCTGGGACAAGGAAAGTACAAAATAAGCCTGGAAAATGTGTTGTGTCAGAAAACAAGAAAGTGCTTAAAGAATGATGGTGACATGTCAAAGGACATGGAAATCAGCTTGAAGGACTCCTAATGACTAAGCTGGAAACAATTTGAGCATCAAAATATGTAACTAATAAGTTAAAAGTCTGATGAGGAATGGAATATTTGCAGTTTCTAAGTAAATCCCTCATAATTACTTATTTATTATGAAATAACTGGTCTGTAATTTTCAAAAGTGCCAAGGTCATGTAAGTCAAAGAGACTGACCAATTAATTCTTCTAGACTGAAGGAGGATAAAGACATTATTGAGACAACTACTAAAACTTGAATGGGATCTAAATATTGAATGATAGTAATACATCAACGTTAATTTCCTAATTTTCACAGCTTTATTATGGTTTTTGTAGGTTACATCCTTGTTTGTAGGAAATATACATTAAAATTTGTAGGGTGATAGGGCATCAGATAAACAATTAACTCTCAAATAATTCAGGAAGAAAAGTTCTGTACACTGTGAAAGTGTGATCGTTTTGCAGGGGACTAGAATGGGCTACACCCAAATATGGCCCTTTGACACAGGATTATTTTAAGCTGAAGACAACTGAGAAATGGAAAAAAGCTCTCTGCCCACCCCTCCCACACTCCCATTTGACTAAAAGAAGATTTAGTTTCTTAATCATCTGAAACTCTTATTGGCCCAGAGACGGCACTAAGAGAAATCTACATGACAAACATTACTAAACCAACTTTTATCTTCCAGGAATTTCGCCCATATATTTAGCGTCCCACAGTTTGCTGCCCCGAAAAGCCTAAACCCCTTTTCCTTTGTCTTGTCACTTCTCAACATATTGTTCGTTGTTCAAATGTTAAAAAGTCCCAAGTTTTAGCCACCCACTTTGAGTTACTTATCACTGCTCATCACTGAGTTTCTATCGCATGCTGCACATGTTAATAAACGGTTTGTTTTTCTCTTGCTAATCTGTTTTTTTGTCAGCTTAATTCCTAGAGCTCCAGCTGGAGACCCTAGGAGAATAGAGGAAAACGTTTTTTCTTCTTCTACAGTTTCAAGACAAATTATATACATAATATATAATTTATATATAGACAAATTGTACCTAACTATATATAGTTATAGTTATACATATACTTATATATATTTTTGTTTATATATATTTATATGTATCATATAGTTGTGATGATTAAATGGGCCAATGTGTTTTAAAAAAGACTACGTGTGGCCGGGCGCAATGGCTCACGCCTGTAATCCTAGCACTTTGGGAGGCCGAGGCAGGCAGATCACGAGGTCAGGAGATCAAGACCATCCTGGCTGACACGGTGAAACCCCGTCTCTACTAAAAAATACAAAAAATTAGCCGGGCCTGGTGGCAGGCACCTGTAGTCCCAGCTACTCAGGAGGCTGAGGTGGGAGAATGGCGTGAACCCGGGAGGCGGAGCTTGCAGTGAGTGGAGATAGTGCCACTGCACTCCAGCCTGGGTGACAGAGCAAGACTCCGTCTCAAAAAAAAAAAAAAAAAAAAAAAAGACTATGTGTGCTCTAAAGCAGTGACTTCCTGCCATTTGGATTTCATGGTCCTATAAAACTTTTTTTTTTTAATGGGAGAAACACTGTAGTTACCATTTTTTTTATTTAGCCACACGATGACATGAAGAAGAATAATACTAGCATCTATCATTATTATAATTTCATAAATGACTATTTCTGTGAGGAGCATCTCATCTTTGTTACCGGAAAGGGGTCCTGATTCAGACCCAAAGAGAGGGTTCTTGGACCTCCAGCAAGAAAGAATTTGGGGCGAGTCCATAAAGTGAAAGCAAGTTTATGAAGAAAGTAAAGGAATAAAGAATGGCTACTCCATAGACAGATCAGTGGCATGGGCTGCTTAACTGAGTATACTTATAGTCATTTCTGGATTATATGCCAAACAAGGGGTAGATTATTCATGAGTTTCCTGAGAAAGGAGTGGGCACTTCCTGGAACTAAGGGTTCCTCTCCCTTTTAGACCATATAGGGTAACTTTCTGATATTGCCATGGCATTTATAAGCTGTCATAGCTCTGGTAGGAGAGTCTTAGCATGTAATGCATTATAATTAGTGTATAATGAGCAGTGAGGAGGACCAGAGGTCACTTTTGTCACCATCTTGGTTTTGGTGGGTTTTGGCCAGCTTCCTTACCGCACCCTTTTATCAGCAGGGTCTTTGTGACCTGTATCTTGTGCTGACCTGATCTTCTCCTTCTGGAACTTAGAATGCCTAACCTTCTAGGAATGCAGCTCAGTAGGTCTCATCCTTATTTTACCCAGCCCCTATACAAGATGAAGTCACTCTGATTTAAACATCTCTGACAAGTCGGCAGAGACACAATCTCGAAATTTAAAAATTGAATATATTTGCCTCTAAGAAAAACTCAGTACCTTGTCCTTATTCTTATCATTT